>NW_025791814.1:680518-850648 GCF_000001405.40 Homo sapiens
ATATATATTACTTTTAAAGGTTTTTTGTTTGGGGTATTTTTTTTTTAAAGATGGGGTTTCGCTGTGTGGCCCAGGCATGTCTCAAAGTTAATGAGCTCAAGTGATTACCCTGCTTTCATCCTTCTGAGTAGCTGGGACTACAGGTGCATATTACAAAACTAAATGTTATAAATAAAACAATAAAAGTGTTAGAAGAAAATCCAGTTGCATATCAATATAATCTTGATACAGGGGAAGTCTTTTTATACATCAAAATACTAATGAATGTCATTTTACAGGCCATTGTTATTTTTATTTTTGTTCATTTGTTTTCTGCATATTAGATAACATAAAAATTTTCAATAAAAAAGCATTCACATTACTATAACTAGTCCAGAACTTTCTGCAATTGCCTCTATTTCAATACTTATTTTATGCCAGCCTTTAGTAACAGACTATATTTAAATGCTTCTCTGAAACAAGACCTATGTGGAAAGTAAGTTTACAAATAAAATAAAGTGCGTGCTAGTAAGCATCAGATAATACATATTTGAAACACACGAGAATAAACAGCAAAGCTTAAATTTAAGTATTTTAAGAGAAGAATCCTAAACATAATGCTCTTCATAAATAGTTGTCTGTACCATTTATTCTGGTTTAGTTTACTTCATAAATTGAAAGTTATTTCCTTATTAAAAGAATAGAGGCCTTTCTCAGAGTCAAGAATTTTAAAATGTTTAATATATCACATATATGTGTATATTTGTGTGTGTGTGTGGTCTATACACACACATAAATGCATATAAGTGCGTAAGTATATATAAGACCTAAGGTCAACATTTTACAAGTTGTGATGTCATTACATGTATTAAAATGAACTTTAATAAAGTAATAATATTATACTTAAGGAAGAATGATTTTTCAGTATATTGATGTTTAGGAAGACTTGGAAGAAATCCAACCAAATTCAGCAAAATGTATTGCACTGAAAGTAGTAGAAGACAAGTATTTGGAATAAATTTAAATTTCTATTTGTTTTGGACCTGGTAGATGTGGCAACGCCTCTAAAACAAAAGGCATTATTTTGGGATAACTTGCAGTCCTGATGATCAAAAAGAATGTCACTTGCATAGATCAGTGGCTGAAAGCAAAGAAAGAACCAAGCAAAATACACAAAAGAGCATGGAGAAAAAGAAATAGGAACTCAAAGTTTTAACAAAAGAAACTTGTTTTCTGAAAACACATGGCATTTTTGATCCACTTCTTCATTGAGACTATCTGCCTACATGTTCTCTAACTGACTGATTTCAGAAGAAGATTATTCAAAATATATAGAATGTTTCAAAAAATAAATACTCAATCTCAAAAAATGAATGTTCAGTGCTATCTATACATATCGTTGGGAATGACCTATTCAACATGAATTTGAAACTGTAATAAGAGAACATTTTTAGGGGTAACGATGTCACAAGAAACACATTTGGATGCCCAGCATCTACTCTCAAATGTTGTGGAAGTTAGATTAATGGTTTTCAAATTGTTCTAATTGCTCATTGCTATGGACTGAAAGTTTGTGCTCCCCAAAAATTCATATGTTGAAATCCTAACTCCCACTGTGATTGTATTAGGAGGTGGGGCCTTTGGAAGGTAGTGAGGTCGTGAGGGTGGGACCCTCAAGAATTGGATTAGTGCCCTTAGAAAAGACGCAAGAGTTAGCTTATTCTTCAGCTCTGCTCTCTGCCATCTGAGGAGTCAAAGAGAAGGCACTGTCTGGGAAGCAGGAAGCAAGGCTTCCCCAGATGACAGATCTGCTGACAACCTGATCTCAGACTTCCAGCCCCCAAAACAGTGAGGAATAATTGTCTGCTGTTTCTAAGCCACCCAGTCTTTTGAACTTTATGATTGCAACCCAAAATGGGCTAAGGTGCTCATTTTGTCAATAAGGAAATGAAGGCTTGGAGCAAAGTGCTTAAAATCCTAGTTATTAAATATTTGCACCATTAACCAGACTCCAGGTCTTCCTAGTCCAGCATCATGTCACAATATTAGAAACGACCCCAGGAAAGAGCTCCAGGTAGGTGTCCTCTTCTGAATACTGGCCCCTCACCCGGGCCTCTGCGGTGGTGCTGATCACACTGTGTGGCATTTCCCTGAAGACAATATATGCTCCTTGAGATATTTATCTGATTCATTTTTAAGGGGAAACAATCAATGCATTAAATAAAATGTATCTGGCTCATTTCAAAAAAGAATACAGAATACATCTCACATACAAAATATGTTTAAGTATTTAAAATATTTGATAGGCTGGAAAGGTCAGACAAGTAAGATTCCTCTTCCCTCTGACAGTGTGTGTCTAAATGCCATAAATTTTTAAAACCTGATGTATTCACCTCCAACACCCCAAAGGCCTAAACATTTTAGTCCTAGGAAGTCCTGCCATTTCCCTGATTCCAGCAATCAATTATAGGGATGGGGACAAGAAATGTTATGATGGCCACTGGGATCCACCATTTGGCATCCAGGTGGCCTTTAGCTAAGTGATGAAGAGGACATGGGCAGCCAGGTCACAGAGCATTGGCCTCATGACCCAGAACCAGAATCTGGGGTAGGTCATGTCCTATCACAAGCGACCCTCTAGGGGAATGCATTAAGCAGAATGTCAGGTTGAATGGAAATCACACATCCCTTCTTCACACCTTTATTCATACCTCATGGGAAGGGGGAGCCACAGTGAGTCTGTGGAGGAAAGGAATGGGGGGGCAGGGATCCCAAATCTACAAGGGAAACTAAGTCCCAGCTTGAGGAAGCCTCCAAACCCTGTCTACTTGGTATCAGTCTTCCACCTTTACCTCTAAAGGGATATCAAATTAGTACTTCTCATGAGTCTCTGGTCACCTAGCCGCCAAGCATTACTTTAGTAATTTTAGGACTGTCCCCAGGCAACGAAAGTATTAAATGACAACTATTATTATTCATAATCTCCTGTTTAAAAGTTTTATTTCATATAAATTTACATAATTAAAAATATTTGTAAATAAAATATTGCTGCTCTCGGTTGTGTTCATTATTTGTCTCATCTACCTACCCAAGGGGAACACTTCTTTCACTGTTCTTTCAAAAGCTAACTTTTTAACTTTGAAAATGCCTGTTCCATAGACAGTAAGTGCCAAGTTGAACTCTTAGTCAGTGTGAGTTGGGTTTAACCAAGAGGATACCTGGAAGTGAGGGGTGAGCCATCGCACTGGTGAAATTTCCTGCAGCATCAGCAGGAGTCAGGAGGGCAGGGGAGAAGCTTCATAATACAGGCAGGTGGGCTGAAAATAACTCACCATGCAGGGTTCTAGAAATTGAGGAATAAGCCTTGGTCACGGAGTAGAACAGGAATTATGGGAGGCAGTCTATGCAAAGTATATGCAAATCACTTGGAAGAGTCTGTCACATCGGAAACTTCACATGAATAGCAGCTGTACTAAGTTGAGCGGTGTCACCCCAAAATTAAGAAAGTCCTCTGGAACCTCAGAATGTGACCTTATTTGAAAATAGGGTATTTGCAGATGTAATTAGTTAAGGACCTTCAGATGAAATCATCCTGAATTTAGGGTGAGCCCTAAACCCAATAATTAGTGTCTTCGTAAGAAGAGGAGAGGCCACACAGAGACATAGAGAAGAACCCCCTGCGAAGATGAAGGCACAGATTCAAGTGATACGGCCACAAGCCAAGGAATGCTGAAGAATGCCTGGGGCCACCAGAAACTGGAAGAGGCAAAAATAATCCTCCTCTAGAGCTTTCAGAAAGAGCTCGACCCTGCTGACACCTTGATTTTGAACTTCCCACCTCTGGAACTGTGAGAATAATTTTTTTAAGCCACACAGTTTATGTTAATGTGTTATGACAACCCTAGGAAATGTACTTTAGCCATTTTTATTGTTGTTATATATTTATCAATTGAACCTTTCCAAATGAAAATTATCTTTCAATTTGCATTTGATAGTCAAATTGAACTTGCGTCACTTTTTTCCAAATAAGAAAACTGGGTCATGTATTCACTTTTATTTAATTAAAAGTTTCCAAAAAAAAAAAAAGGTAGAATAGGCGCCAGAATTCAAAATTTAGGAACCTATTGTTTATGTTTCTCCAAAATTCATTTGTCGAAATTATAAACCCCAGTAGGTGAGGGTATTAGGAGGTAGGACTTTTGAGAGGTGATTAGGTCATGAGGATGAAGCCCTCAAGAATGAGATTAGTGCCCTTATGAAAAGACATGAGAGCTTGTGTTCTGTCCTTCTGCTCTGTGCCATGTAGGGATACAAGGACACAGTAAGAAGGCCACCATCTGAAAGCCACATGGACATCAGCAGACACAGCATCTACTGGTGCTTTGATTGTGGATGTCCAGCCCCTAAAATTGAGAAATCAATGTCTGTTGTTTAAGCCACCCAGACGATGGTATTCTGTGACAGCAGCCTGAGTTGACCAAGGACCTACAAAATATTTATTAATCTTCACAAATCAGGGAAATCATTTCTGCCCAGACAACCTCCACTGGGGATAGGCAGCCCTGTAATATCCGAAATTTTACATATATTCACTCTTCCAGCACGTTAAACAGCCTCACCTGCAAAGTCCCACTTTTTCTTTCAGTCTGTGCTTTAATAGTTTATAAAAGCCAGAAATGTCATGGGAAACCAGACAGACCACAGAGAAGTCACACAAAGAGGCATGACCTTTGCACCTGCCACTGACTTTCTGGGAACCTCAGTTTCCTCATCTCTAAAACAGGTGTCCTGGGACACTTGGCAGGGGTAAGAATTGTGTGAGATGATGTGTGAAATATGCACACCATCCCAGCACACTGCAGGCATTGAGCTGGCACCAGCAATGGTCTGGCTATGGCTCCGAGCACCAGCCTCCAACACTTACTGAATGAGGGGAGAACAAAGAGTCACCTCAAAAAGTGGCTTCAGCCCCTAGCCCCCTTGTGTGTAGCCCAGCCAGTCTGTCACTGAGAAAACCAGTGACTGGAGTGGCCACGTGTCAAGGGCTTTGGGAACAGAAAGTCAGGTCCAGTCTGGGCTTTCTCTACCAGTGGGAAACCTTGGTGGGTTTCCAGCCTTGGCGAGCCTTTGTTCCCTCCTCCACAAAAGAAGATCCAAATAATCCCTAGTAACCTGGTCGTAATACTTAAATGATGTGATCTGGTACCAGGACCTGGCAGTGCATAGGCACTCATTCTGTCTTCCCTGACAAGACCCCTGCATGAAACTCAGCGGGTACATTCTCCCCTCCTAGGACACAAGCATTTTTAAAGAGGGTTAAGGTGTAGAGAAGTCCTTTTCTTGGGAAAATGATTCACAAGGCATCTATGGGGAGATATTTTCAGTAGGAAGCTGTGCAGGAGAGCTGGGGGTCCACACACTCAGGGTAGCTGTGAGCAGCATTTCCTTGGGTCATGGGGATATGTATCTGGAAAAGGGCCACCGCCCAGTCAGTGACATCTCTGCCAGGGCCTCAGGCAGACTCTGGCCCAAAGCAAACGGCAAAGTGGCCAACAGATCATGGGCTTTGGGTCTGACAGATCTGGATTCAAATAACAGCCACTTCCCTGCCTTTTGACCTTAGGCAAATCATGTAGACTTCTCTGAGCCACCTCAGTTTCCATGTGAGGAGTAGGGGGTGACAATACCTATGCCACCAGCTATGGCTTCGCCCAAGCACAGCTCCTGGCATGGATCTGGCAGTAAATACATGGGGTTTTCCTCCCTAGTCCATGCATGGACCTCAGTGGCCTTTGGTTTGTCAGTTTTTTTATATTCCTTCGAGATGAAGTTCATCCATTTAAAAAAATAAAATACAAATAAGTTTGATTTAGCAAAAATCTGTGGGTGACATTTGCTAAAGTTGGATTTATGTCTCATTTAATATTTATTGGGATTAAGTCACTGCTGGCCTCACCCCAAAACCCATAGAAAAAGAGAAGCTCAGGTCTTTCTAAGGGAAGTCACGTCTTACACTTCCCCTTTTCAGGAGAGGCCTAGTGAGAATGTGGTTTTGCTCCAGGGGCTGGGGCTGGGGTGGGAGCCTGGAGGATCCTTTCTAAAGGCTGATACCCCCCAGTTATTGGGGGCAAGGGGGCTGAGAAGCATTTCTTCTTGAGGCCCATGTCAACCCCATCCAAATCCCCTCATAACATCAAGCAGAGCAACTAAGACAGAGCCAAGAGCAGCCCAACCTTGGTCATGGGGAATCCTCACCGTCCTCTCTGTCCCCAACCCTGTCTATCCTGGGGAAGACAGCCCAGAGGCAGACATGACCCCACTGTCCCCCGGTGTAGACACAATAGCAGCAAGGAAGACAGCCTGCTAACCTTTCTAGAATCCATTTTTCTCCACACTCCCACACCACGGCCTTCCTTTCTTGCTTCTTACACGCCTGCTGTTAGAAAGATCTTAATTCTGGTGACTGAGGGAAACACAAAATGGTGGCTTATAATCAAATCAGCCCAGAAGCCACTCTGCACCCAAACCTATCACCCGGAGGGACGTGAAAGCTAATTCTTCAAAAGCCAAACACAGTCGTCTCCTTTTCCAAGTCCTGGGATTCAGCTGTCAGGCCTCATGAAAACCATTCTCCTCAAGGTTAAAACCTTAATGCACTGTTTGCACATTGAATCAAAAGAGGTTTGCATAATTAATGGAGCACAGAAAAATCGGGAGACAGAACGCAAAGTAGGTTTTAGGAGAAATAAAAGGCTTGCAGGAGGAAGGCATGCCCTCCTGAGTTTCCTGCACAAGTACAAAGACACCGGTGGAATCAAAAGGCAGGTCATGAGAACCAGCCACAGGGGACCTCTTCCAGCCTTCAGCACAGGGAGGAGAGGAAACAAGATGTCTGGACACTGGGTTTCTGGAGCAATGCTTCCACTGTCCTTCAAATGTGCCTCAAATTGTTCAAGCAAACTCAGAACGTCTCTGCCACGTTCCCTGGAACAATGGAATGTCCTTGCTGAGAAAGGCAGGGAGCAAGACGAAGGCAGGCAGGCAGCATTTCCTCTACAGACAGACACTGCGCAGTGTCCCGCAGCCCCCCAAATTGGGGAGGGATTCCTCGCGTGGCATCAGTAAGGGGCGCTCAGCAGAGGCAGCCTGGCATATGGTGTCTCCAATTTTTTAGTGACAAGTGGCATGTTAGCAGAGCTGCGGAGGAGCGGGGAGAGAGCCGGTTGGTTAATCACTCCCCATTGCCTGCACCCTCAGGCAAAATCATATTGCTTTATGCAGATGAGTTCATAACAGTTTCTTCAATTTGGCTTTTATAGAAAAAAGCGCCAGCTCCTCGCACTGTGTCAACAGCCACCCGAGGGCCTAGCACTTTACAAGGCGAGTGTATTACTATTTAAAGACCAGCTTTTAGCTGAACATCAGGGCTGCCTTCAGAGTTTAATTACCGCCCTCCCCATGGGGCCAAATGAGCCATCGACTCCTCCCAAGGGGGTTCGGCTTGGTACTGATCTTTAAGTAAGTGAACGCTAAACCAGCTCATCTTAAAGCGCCCACATCTGATTTCCTGCTCTGCTGCAAGACAGTAGGTGACTGGTAATGACCCGTGAGCAATTTACAATCCTGGATGTAATTAATCTTCAACTGAAAATAAACCAGTAAAAAAAAAAATATATATATGTACAATATAAAATATATAATAGAATTTGTATTTCCTTTTCTAAATTATCAGAGAAAGATCTCAATAGCACGTGCAATTTCCTGAAACAATTTCCAATTTTATTACAGCAGTTTTTTTCTTTCTCCTCTTACTTTCCTTCTCAATTTGCAAAATTGAATAGAATGTGTTTGAAAGGCCAGGGTCACAGCCTTTCTACATCCTCAACAGTGATCATCAAATTAGTCCTTTTAAAGTACCATTAGGTAGGCATGACTTTGGGATATATAATTGTCCGTTAGAAGACAAATTAACATGTCAATAGTAGTACACAGCGATATTTTATCTGAGAGTGGCCCAAAGAATTAAAAATCTAGTGCATTTTCCAAAAGCCATGGAAGAATCAAAATAGGGTAAAACAAGGCCGGGCACGGTGGCTCATGCCTGTAATCCCAGCCTTTGGGAGACCAAGATGGGCAAACCACTTAAGCTCAGGAGTTCGAGACCAGCCTGAGCAACATGGTGAAACCCCATCTCTACCAAAAATACAAAAAATTAACTGGGTGTGGTGGTGTGCGCCCGAGGTCCCAGCTACTCTGGAGGCTGAGGCGTGAGGATCACCTGAGCCTGGGAGCCGAGATTGCACCATGGCACTTCAGCTTGGGCAACACAGTGTGACCCTGTCTCAAAAAAAACATTAAAAATGTCATTTATCTTCTTGTTTTGAGAGAATACCAACAACAAAAATATTAAAGATACATACATTTAATTTGTAACATAAACAAGCTTGGCAGAACATTCCTAAGGTGTTGACTGAGTTCCAAACAGACCAAGGTATTACATTTTCATTCTGGAAAACTCCTGCTGATTCTTCAGTCATTTACTTCGAGATAAAAAAAAACAACAATGCATCCAGGGCTGTGAGGGTCCCACTACTTGCGCTTAGGAAGAGAACAGCTGAGAACGGTAAGCAGTGGTCCTTACACTACCTTCTCTCAGCATCCATATGACCAAACGAAATAAAACAAAGTTCCCTGATATGTACATTTGTGACCCTGAGTTGAATCAGTTATGTCTGTGTTTTAATAGGCTGCCAACCACACTGAGATACTCAGGCAGCATGAAAGGGTATGGAAGACCTAGGTTCTAGGCCTGTCTCATAAGGTGTTACATTTTGGGACAAGTCATACTTCAGCTCACTCACCTTCATATTTAACAAAGAAATTTAATCTGTTATATTGACGTTTGGAAACCCCAGCTAAGCTAACAGGGAGAAGGGCTGTGGTGAAATGGTGGTGATGAACAAACCTCTTAGAGGTACATCATGCAAGACGAGATAAATAATACTGTTAACTACCAGTATCTAAGCTGAGAAAATGTGCTGGCTAAGTCAACAGGTTGCTGTATCCTTTACACACTGACATAAATGCTGAAATGAATGAAATAATGAAAAGCTAAGCAAAGAGTCTTGCTTTATGGAGGATCCATGGAGCATCAAGCCCTACGCTTGGTATTTTGAGTTCTTGACGTTATTTACAAATGAAAAGAACCCTACCAAAATACTAGTCCTACCTATAGGAAATGTCCGATATCACCCAGCTAGTCATTGGTATCTGGATCCCAGATCCACACCAACACCGAGCCCCAGGCCTGACACTCAGCTCAACCAATATCCTTTCTCTGGGCCGTCCTGCCTCCCAGGGCTTTCTGCTGTTTAGCCATCTACTCAAAAATATTTTACTAGTCGGGCGCAGTGGCTCATGCCTGTAATCCTAGCACTTTGGGAGGCGGAGGTGGGCGGATCACCTGAGGTCAGAAGTTTGAGACCATCCTGGCCAACATGGCAAAATCCCGTCTCTACTAAAAATACAAAAATTACTCAGGCATGGTGGCACGCGCCTGTAATCCCAGCTACCCAGGAGGCTGAGGCAGGAGAATCACTGGAACCTGGGAGGCAGGGGCTGCAGTGAGCCGAGATCACGCCATTGCACTCCAGAATGAGTGACAGAGCAAGAATCCATCTCAAAAAAAAATTGCTTTTTCCTCAAAATTGCCACCAAGTGTCTCAATCCTTGCAATTGTCCCTTAGGACAGACCCTTCTTTCCATTCAACAAGGTATTCCGAACAAACACATTACGTCTTTGTGGATATTTCTCTAGAGTAGTAGTAGCTATTAAAAGAAAAACTTTAGACAAATTTAACAGAGTTTAATTGAGCAAAGAATGATTTGAGAATTGGGCAGCCTCCAGAACCATAATATGTTCAGAGTAACTGAGGGACTGTCACATGGTTGGGATAACATTTATGGACAGAAAAAGGAAAGTGAGGTAGACAAAAGGGACGAGAGGCACAGAAACAGCAGGGCTGCTTACAGGCTTATTTGAGCTCAGTTTGAATAGTTGGATGCAAGTGATTGGCTGAAACTGGGATGCTGTGATTGGCTGAGACTCAGCTACTTGTTACAGTGTAGATTACAGTCCCTTTACACGTCCAGTTAGATGACAGTTCACTATGTACAGAGAAACCTTTAGGTCAAACTTAAAAAGTGTAGTGTTAATGAAAAAAGCCAAACTGAAATATTTAAAGAGGTTTATTCTGAGCCAAATACCAATGACCATGGCCTGAGGCATAGCCTCAAGAAGTCCTGAGTACATGAGCTGCAGGTGGTTGGGTTACAGCTTGGTTTTACACGTCTTAGGGAAACATAAGACATCAATCAATACATGCGAGGTATACATTGGTTCAGTCCAGAAAGGCAGGACATCTTGAAGTGGTTGGGGGTGTTGCTCACAGGTTATAGGTGGATTCAAAGAGTTTCTGATTGACAATTGGTTGGAATTGTCAATTATTCCAACCAATTATTATCTAAAGACCTGGAATCAGTAGAAAGAAACTGTCTGGATTAAGATAAGGGGTTGTGGAGACTGAGGTTCTTATTATGTAGATGAAGTCTCATAGGTGGCTGCCCTTAGAGACAATAGATAGCAAATGTTTCCCATTCAGACTTTTAAAAGGTGCTAGACTCTCTGTTAATCTCTTCAGGATTGGGAGGGCCTGGAAGATGAAAGATCTAGTTATGTTAATAGGGATTCCTTACAGGTGCAAAATTTCCCCCACAAAAGACAGCTTTGCAGAACCATTTCCAAAATATGGCAAGGAAAGATATTTTGGGGTAAAATATTTTGATTTCCTTCTTTATCTGTTATGTGATATTATACTAAAGTTAGGTTGGAATTTGGTATCTTATTGCTATGAAGAATCTTTCTGTCCATCTTAGGATCTCTATTTTAATGTTAATGCTGCTCAGTCGTGTCTAAACTCCAAAAGGCAGAGTGTATAATGAGACATGTCTGATGGCCTCTGTTCCTGTCATGGCCTGAACTACCTTTTCAGGTTTCCTTGGGTCCCTTTGGCCAAGAGGGTGTGTCCATTCAGTCAGCTGGGGGGCTTAGACTTGTATTTTTTGGTTTACAGTAAGGAGGCAGCTGATGTAAAGAGATAAACTCAGAAAAATTGTAAGAGTTCTATTTCCAGCTGGGCATGGTGGCTCACACCTGTAATCCCAGCACTTTGGGAGGCCGAGGTGGGCGGATCATGAGGTCAGGGGTTCAAGACCAGCCTGGCCAACATAGTGAAACCCCGTCTCTACTAAAAATACAAAAATTAGCCAGGCATGGTGGCGTGTGCCTGTAGTCCCAGCTACTCAGGAGGCTGAGGCAGAAGAATTGCTTGAACCTGGGCATTGGAGGTTGCAGTGAGCCAAGATCACACCACTATACTCCAGCTTGGGCAACAGAGTGACACTTCGTCTCAAAAAAAAAAAGAGTTCTCTTCCCTTCCTAGACCCTTCCAATGAATGAGACAGATTCCTTGGGTTCACAGAGGGAGTTAAGAAGAGCTGCCTTTAGCACACTGCATTTCTCAAATCTGATTCAACTGGAAACTCACGTAGTCTAGAAATAGGGGTTTACTGAGGAAGATCTGTATATCTCCCATTGCTGCAGTGTGGGAAACATCTAGAATGTGCCACACTCACTGTCCTGAAATCTTCTATGTGTTAGAAATGTTTCTATCTTCTTCACCAATCACCTATTCTATCTCAGCTATTCCACCTGTGTGCTGCTGCCAAAGGTTGGCAGCTTCATCTACTTTCCATCTGAACCAGATCTGAAACTACATTTAAATCTAACACAGCTGACCAAATCTACATGAAAATTCTTATCTAGATGAATTAGCATATACACAATGTTTATGTATTTTCACCTACCTTCATGAACTAATTTCACCATAATTGATGCCACATAAATAGTTTTGAGACTACAATTACATGTTTTACACTTAAAAAGCTTTCATTTCACCCAATATAATAATGGGCATTATTTTCTATGCTTAAGGACTGAAGTATTACAGCAATTGTAGTAAAAAAGTAAAACATTATACAGCTCATGTGGAAACAGCTTTCTAATTTTTTTAAGACTAAGATTAGGATGCAAATCCAACCCGGAAATTGAACCATCACTAAGCATCTTTGTTCATCTGATCACTGCTCAAAACCATCTGCACTGAATTGTAAGATATTAATAACAAACCGTTTAACAATCAGCTAGGATTAAAGGACAAAGCCTCTTAGGGACAGTTTCTATTGGTGGATTTTAAAAATAAAAGAAGAAACAGCACAAGTCACATTTCTTTCTAGATTGTAGAACTCCACAAAATGTTTTTGTTTATATATTTAAGCAGTGCTTTTATGAAAGTACCACTGGACTTACCTTTTATGCCTTGGAAAGGGCATATGTAGTATCTGAGGATCAAGTTCTTCTGAAAATTTCCAGCAACTTTTAGAGATCAACTCAATGACAGTATGTCATTCAAATCAGCATTTTATATTGAAAGGCCTGTGGTGATAATGTGGAAATCCACCAGGATTCCCCTGATGCAAGGTTTCAGGAGGTATCAGTTATTTGTGTACAGGACACATCCCAAGGCCCTGCAAGAAGGCCCCTGCATTACAATGTATAATGTAAGAAAATTCAGATGTGTCTAACTCTTTGCAAACAAATAAGATTTTTACATATATATCATTAACCAAATATACCTTTAATTTTTTAACCAATCCTTCCTCTTCTAGCCAACAACTGTGATATCTAAATGCTTCTCACTCTTCATTCCCAAGATAACACATCCGTTTGCACCCAAAAGTATATTGCAAACACCTGCCAGCAATTCATGCTTCAATTCTCAAATCCATTTCAACCTGTAAATTTTTCTTCTGAATTATTTTTTTTAACATTCTGTGACAGAGTCATAGGATCACTAAAACAAGACTGTTAAAAATAAAAGGTTCATGAAAGATCACCTAGTTCCATTTTCTCATTTATCATATGACAAAACTGAGGCCCAACAGGTTACGTGACTTATCCTCCTCAGAGCAAAGCCAAGCGGAGGAGGAAACAAAAAATCCCAGATCTTGAATCAGGGTGCTTGTCATTGTTGTCATTTGTAGAGGTATTGTTTAAGACAGGGTCATGCTAGATGTCCAGGCTGGAATGCAGTGGCTATTTACAGATGTCATAACGCTTACTACAACCTCAAACTCCTGGGCTTAAACAATCCTCCTGCCTCAGTGTCCTTAGTAGCCAGTAGCTGGGACTACAGGCATGCATCACCATGCCTGGCTGTTTGTTTTGATTGTTAGTTTTTTTTTTTTTTTTTAATGCGACAAATTGTTGGATTAAACGAATTAAAAACATTTTAGAACATAACTGCAAACAATAAAATTAGACTGCTTCTGCTAAGTCTTACTTAGGTGCAAGATCCAGGGGAAAGGGCAGCTATCATTCTTACAAAAATGGAAAGATAGTTTAAATCCTGGAAATACTTGTCTCTGACTAGGAATGTTTTCCCCTGGCCAGTACCATGGGGAAAGTTCTTCTGTGGACCTAGCCTTTCAGGGACCCCTCAAGTCCTTCACCTTGTGGACAATTTTGGGGAAATGAGCCAATTTCGACAGTCATCTAGTCAACAGTAACAGGAATTCCATTGTGTACTGAATATAGTACTGAGTAAAGAATATGAGTAACAAATCTCAGAAAAGTATATATTACAGAGACGGTTATCCACTCACATAGAGGGAGACATACTCTCCTCCTATGCTGTATTGCACTAAATTATTTTTTAAAATTATAGAGGTAATTCCTATTTTTAGGTATTCTTAGAAGATGACAGAACAAACTATATGTAAAATATAAAATGGATTTTGGTAACCTTCTGGAGGATACTAAGTGTAATCTCTGCTCCCATAATATTTCATTTTTGTTTTTACGTTTTTGTAACCACCAACATGTTGTACTGGAATTTAACACTTGACACATGGTATTGAAATTGTTTATTTTCTTGGTGATTTCCCCCATTACATTGTGAGCCCCTTAAAGACAATGTTTTATTAATTTTCCAGTAGGTAGCACCAAGCCCAGTACCTAGTGCACAGAAGGCATTCAGTAAATGGTGGATGAATTAACAAATAAAAGAATGAGTGAGTGAGTGAATGAAATGATGCATATTTTATATTTCAAAAATCTTTATAGTTTATACATGATTAACTTGAATATTTTAAATTCAATATTCAGGCATTCCTATCCTCACTTTCCAGAAAGCCTGATGATGTTAAGTAACTAGCTCAGGGTCTCACATCCATTACATGAGAAAGCCAAATCTAGAATCCAGATGGCATTCCATTTGCTTGGGGAACACAGGGAAGAAAAAAGCACACGTGATCTTGAGCATTTAAAACACAGCTCTTTAATCAGGCAGATATTTTCCAGATGCCTATAAAAATGTTTTGATAGTAACATCCAAAGAAAAATAGTCATTCCTCATTACCAGAACCCAATGATATGTCATTTCCACAGTACTGAGTTTTTGAGGCACTAGTAATTGGCTTCTGAAACCTTCTAAATATCAAGATCGAGTAATGATATTTAATGATGCCAAAATAAGAATCAGAATGAAATTTTAAACCCACATTATATTGTATTTAATTATAGAAAATGACATATTAACTTCCTCATATAAAACGTTTATTCTAAATGTGAATGCAGAACATTTTGTCAAATTTCAAACCAACGTTTTTTGTTGTTGTTTGTTTTTTAAGACACAGCATCTGATTCTGTCACCCAGGCTGGAGTTCATTAGTGCAATCATAGCTCACTATAACCTCAAATTTCTGCTCCCAAGTGATCAACTTGCCTTAGCCTTCTGAGTAGCTGGCACTACAGGTGTCCACCACCATGCTTGGCTAATATTTTTTTTAATTTTTTGCAGCGATGGGGTCTTGCTATGTTGTCCTGACTGGTCTTGAAGTCTTATCCTTAAGTAATCCCCCTTCCTCGGCCTCCCAAAGTGCTGGGATTACAGGTGTGTGAGCCACCATATACAGCTCAACTGAGGTAGGGGGATTACTTGAGGACAAGTTGGGTGAGAGAGGTACCTGTTAGAAGATACTGTTAAATGTTCCAGAAAAATTCTGTCAGTAAGAAAAATAGAGTGTATAGAAGAAAAAGTGATGTTTAATATTTGCTTAAATTTTCTCTGCACTTTTTCTACCTCCAAACCAAATCACTATATAGAATAATCACCTTTGAGGAAAGACACGTCTAATAATGTTTATAATATTCAGAAGATGAGATTCTATGTATTTAGTTTACTCTTGAACAAAGCCACAGTGTCCAGTCCCCACACAGTTAAAAATATATGTATAAATTTTGACTCCCTCAAAACTTAACTACTAATAGTTTGCTATTGACTGGAAGCCTTACTGATAACAAAAACAGGCAATTAACACATATTTTGTATGTTATCTGTATTAAATACAGTGTTCTTACAATAAAGCAAGCTAGAGAAAAAAACGTTATTAAGAAAATTGTAAGGAAGAGAAAATATACTACTATATGTCTTAGTCTATTTTGTATTGCTATGACAGTATACAGAGGTCTGGGTAATAATTCATAAAGAAAAAAGGTTTATTTGGCTCACAATTCTGATAGCTGGAAGGTTCAAGATTAGGCATCTGGTGAAAACCCCAGACAGCTTCCACTCATGGTGGAAGGCAAAGGGGAACCAACTGTGTGAAGATCACATGGAGACAGAGGAAGTCAGAGAGAGAGAGGGGAGGTACCAGAATCTTTTTAAATATCAGCTCTGGAGGGAGCTCACAGAGTGAGAACTCACTCACCCCTGAGGGATGGCATTAACCTATTTATGATGGATCCACCCCCATGACGCAATACCTCCTACTAGGCCCCACCTCCAACATCAGGGGTCAAATCTCAACATGAGGTTTGAAGGGAATAAATATCCATATCATAGCACTATTCATTAAATGGAGGTGGATCATCACAAAGTTCTCCATCCTCATCATCTTCTCATTGAGTAGGCTGAGGAAGAGGAGGGGTTGGTCTTGCTGTCTCTGGGGTGGCAGAGGTGGGAGAGGTGGAGAAGGTGGAAGGGGAGGCAGGAGAGGCAGGCACACCCAGTGTAAGTTTTACTGAAAAATATCCACATGTAAGTGGACCTGCACGGTTCAAACCCATGTTGTTGAAGGGTCAACTGTATATCAATATTTACTGCTATGGTGTGGATGTGGTTTGTCCCTGCCAAAACCCATACTAAAATTTTATCCCCAGTGTGGCAGTGTTGGGAGGTGGGGCCAAGTGGAAGTTTTTCTGGTTACGGGGTAAAATACTTCATGAATAGATTAATGCCCTCCCTCAGGTGTGCATTCCCCTTCTCTCGGGAATTAATTCCTGAGAGAGTATGTTGTTAAAAAGAGTCTGGCTTATTTGGCTTTTGTCTCTTGCTTCTTTTTTTCTTTTTTAGACGGAGTCTCACTCTGTCCCCCAGGCTGGAGTGCAGTGGTGCGATCTCAGCTCACTGCAAGCTCTGCCTCCCGGGTTCATGCCATTCTCCTGCCTCAGCCTCCCAAGTAGCTGGGACTACAGGCGCCCAACACCGGGCCCGGCTAATTTTTTGTATTTTTAGTAGAGACCAAGATGGTCTCGATCTCCTGACCTCGTGATCTGCCCACCTCGTCTTCCCAAAGTGTTGAGATGACAGGCGTGAGCCACCATGCCCAGCTGCTTCCTTTTTTCACCATGTAATCTCCCTGTACATGCGCACTTCTCTTCTGCTTTTTGTCATGAGTGGAAGCAACCTGAGGCCCTCACTGGATGCAGATGCTCAATCTTAAACTTTCCAGCCATCAGAATTGTGAGCCAAGCAAACACCTCTTCTTAATTTGTCAGCCTCCAGTATTATGTTATAGCAACACAAAATGAACTAAAATGCACTGATACATATATACACACGCACTGATATCTCACTAGACCATACCAAGAAAGACCCAACAATGTGGATCAACAGGATTTTGCTACAAACGTTAGCAATACCTGTTTACTGATCCTACAGTATCTTATTGTGTAGCTTCACTTAATATATTTGGCGTTGGGCATGTAAAAGGTTTTCAAAAGACCTTGTATATTTGCATAGATAATATAAGTATACTTCCATAACTAGTATCCAAGGATCATCGGTAAATTAGTTTCCATGTCTTTCATTAGTCTCAGATACTTTCCATCACATATTTCTATCACTGAGAAAAACAGGTTATCATTTGATTATCTCTTTATCAGTTGTCATTAAAATGATCTAGAGGCCGAGATGGGCAGATTACGAGGTCAGGAGATCGAGACCATCCTGGTTAACACGGTGAAACCCCGTCTCTACTAAAAAATACAAAAAAATTAGCTGGGCATGGCGGCGGGCACCTGTAGTCCCAGCTACTCAGCAGGCTGAGGCAGGAGAATGGCATGAACCTGGGAGGCGGAGCTTGCAGTGAGCCAAGATCGCACCACTGCACTCCAGCCTGGGCGACAGAGCAAGACTCCATCTCAAAAAGAAAAAAAAAAAAATTATCTAAGTTAATTTCACTTATAAAGCACAGACTCCTATCTAGTAAGTCCATCTATAGAATGAGAGAGTGAATTATGTTTTAAATAAACAGAGCAGTCTGCAAACGGATAATCAAATGATCTGGGATCCCACCAGTCATATCTCATTTAGAGCAAGACAGAAACATTGATAGTTCTCTTCATAGCTTATGCATCAATAAAAATATTAGATACACTTTTCTTTTTTACACTTATTTTCAAAGAGATGGTTCACTTTCTCTCTGTATATTGTAAATCCTTCAATGTTATTTTTACCAAGTTTTTGTCCCTTTTCACAAACCATCCTCGTTATTTTTATCACCACTGGAATTGATTTTAAAAGCTTGATTATTCTTGACAGGGCACAGAGGAATGTCCTTCACTACGTATGCCAGGATGAAGTGAATTTATAAGCCCACAAGTAGATCTGATAAGCATGCAGAAATCATTTGTATTATGTGCATAAAACAGTGCCCGATTAAAGGACAGTCACATTTTCTTCTGACAAAATGTCTGTGGCACTCCAGAAAACAGGCTTTATTTTTTAAGGTTTACCTCATAATGAAACAAAGTTTGAAGTGGAAACTCTTAAAATGCACAGGTAGGAGATGCAATGATACAATCCAATGCAATAAAATAAAATAAAACCATGAATGAGCACATTTGGAAGAATGAATTCTCCAGTTAAAGTAGGCCGGGCACGGTGGCTCAAGCCTGTAATCCCAGACCTTTGGGAGGCTGAGGCGGGAGGATCACGAGGGCAGGAGATTGAGACCATCCTGGTCAACACGGTGAAACCCCGTCTCTACTAAAAATACAAAAAATTAGCCGGGCGCGGTGGCGGGCGCCTGTAGTCCCAGCTACTGGGGAGGCTGAGGCAGAAGAATAGCGTAAACCCGGGGGGTGGAGCTTGCAGTGCGCTGAGATCGCACCACTGCACTCTGGCCCGGGCGAAAAGAGCGAGACCCCGTCTCAAAAAAAAAAAAAAAAAAGTACAAGTAAAGACAAATGATTTTAAGCAGAATAGGAGGTTAAGAGAAACAGCCTCTCATATTTGAGCACCTCTCAGGATCCACATAGGTATAGAAACAGAGTTCATTAGAAGTTTATGTTGTAGTTCTGGGATCTCATTTACACAAAACACACAAATTTGCAAACATAAATATCAATGATTCGGGACCTATAAGTCATATAGAAGTCAGCTTATTGCAACATCTATTGAAATGAAGCAGTTCTAAGATACTTAAGAACTTTTTTTCCCTCTCTGTAACGGCTGTTTTGATGCTTTTAAAATTTTCTGTCTTTTTTTTTTTTTTTTTTTTCTTTGAGATGGAGTCTCGCTCTGTCTCCCAGGCTGGAGTGCAGTGGCGCGATCTCGGCTCACTGCAAGCTCCGCCTCCCGAGTTCACGCCATTCTCCTGCCTCAGCCTCCCGAGTAGCTGGGGCTACAGGCGCCCAACTACCATGCCCGGCTAATTTTTTGTATTTTTAGTAGAGACGGGGTTTCACCGTGTTAGCCAGGATGGTCTCGATCTCCTGACCTCGTGATCCGCCCGCCTTGGCCTCCCAAAGTGCTGGGATTATAGGCTTGAGCCACCATGCGTGGCCAATTTTCTGTCTTTTGAACTAAACACTTGTGCTTAAATTCTCACCCACGATTGCTCTTTCTACACTAAAATGTGAAGATGTAGGAGCAGAGAGGCAGCATTTGCAGGGAGACCATGCATGTTGTCTCAATACAAGGAAGGCTCTTCTGTTGCTCCAGGAAATTAGTTGCCCTGGATGTAGGAGTTACCTAGAGAAGCTCAGACAGAGGCTGGAAGATAAGCAGTCAGGTAGGCAGGTGGCTCCAGGGGGACCCCCTGTGTGGGGTGGAAAGCTGGAGGTAAGGATCCGGAAATTCCTGGCCAGCTCTAGATTTCACAACACCACGTTCCCCATGTTCCCGGGGAATATTCACAAGAACCCTGATGCCGATGTCCACCCCATCCGTACTGAACCAGGTTTGCACATCGGTGTTTTCAGTCTACCCGTTGTTAATACAGCGACTCCTCGACTTACAGTGGGATTATGTCTGGAGAAACTCATTGTAAGTTGAAAATATCACAAGTCAAAAGGCATTTAATACCTCTAACATACTGAACATCATAGCTTAGCCTAGCCTACTTGAAATGTGCTCAGAACACTCACATTAGCCTACAGTTGGGCAAAATCACATCCAAAAAAAGCTGGCAACACAATGCATTGTAGAGTACCGGTTGTTTGCCCCCGTGACAGTGTAGCTGACTGGGGATTGCAGCTTGCTGCCTCTGCCCAGCATCAAAAGAGAGTATGGAACCACATATTGCTAGCCCGGGTAAAGATCTAGTTTGAAATCTGAAGTATGGTTTCTACTGAATGCATATCACTTTCACACCACGGTAAAGCCAAATATTGTCATAGTAAAGTCAAACCATCATTGCTCAAGGACCATATGCTTATGTAAAAATCCCAGAAAACAACTTGAGGGTGTCCACTTTGTTTATGAGGATTACATTAAGTGTCGTATGTTAACAAACATTGACAAATGATGCTTTGGGGAAAGAAGGAAAACTCTGAAACGGCTAAATTTCACTAATATTACCAATATTAAATAGCATAGTGTATTTGGTAAGAGCATAGGCTTTCGATTGATAAGGAGCCAGGCTTCATTTCCACACCTATCTAATGACCTAAACTACAGGTGTGGTAACAGTGATGATGGTAACAGTCTAAAATGGCAACCCAGTAGTTCAGATTCAATGTGCCTGCACCCAGCACCCCCTGGTGTTAACTTACCCTACAGTCAACAGTTCTTTTCAGGGTACATGAATCCTTTGAAATATAACCTACAAAATATAGATTCCTGTGTGTATGCTGACTACACGTCGTTCCATTATTTTCTCACCGGCAGAAAGTTCTTAGGAATAATGTAAACTCACTTGTTTTCATTTGTCTATTTCCCCTAACTTTGTTTTCATGGTGACAGGCCACTGGTTCCTGACCTGCTATTTGAGACAATTTATATGATCATCCTTTAGCTTCTGCTTCATTCAGTGATACCCCATTTCCTCTATTTTCCTCTGGCTTTTCTTCAAATGGTTTATATTTTAATAAAACGTGGGGTTTGTGAAGGTTTTTGAAAATGAGACGGTTTTCTTATCTTTCTCTTTCCTTTTTTGTTTCAATCTTAGGTCTGAGCCCAGATCTCCCAACGACATGCTTTCATGAAACAATAATGACGAGACCGAGTGAACTAAGCTGTCTTCAGTTTTGGAGATGCAGAGGCCAACACTGGCAGTTCCTGACATCACTTAAGGGAAAACAAAGCTAGGGGCAAAAATACTAAGGCAGCCTAGATTTGGGGGCCCTTTGTATACACTCCAATTTTTAAAATAACATCTGGGCATACTTCTCTTTTAAACTCTTCAATCCACATATTTTTCATTATTAAAAAGTGACTTCGGTGACATTTTCAAACACTAAACAAACTTAGCCATATGTCCATTTCACTGACTTTCCCCACATCGTGGTCTCTCCTTATAAGGGATGGGTTCCACTCTTGGGCTCAAATGTTTTGCTTTTCTGTGTCTGCTCAACTAACACACCCCTCCTGATATGGTTAGGCTTTGTGTCCCCACCTAAATCTCATCTTGACTGTAATCCCCAGGTGTTGAGGGATAGAGCTGGTGGGAGGTGACTGGATCAATGCAGTAGTTTCCCCCATGCGGTTCTCATGATAGTGAGTGAATTCTCACGAGATCTGATGGTTTTATAAATGTTAGTTTTTCCCAGACTCTCACATGCTCTCTCACCTTCTCTCTCAGGCCATGTAAGATGTGCCTGCCTCCCCTTCCGCCATGATTGTTAAGTTTCCTGGGGCCTCCCTAGCCATGTGGAACTGTGAGCTAATTAACCTCTTTTCTTTATAAATTACCCAGTCTCAGGCCGTTCTTCATAGCAATGTACTTCATAATACACCTCCCTAGACACACCACTCACTCAGAGAAAGCTCAGCATCATGTTTACTGTGTAATTTCTCCTCACTAGTCATTTGCTATTTATTTCTCTCACATCATCATCTCTTCCTGAACTGATTTTTCTACTACCTCTGAAAATAACAGCTCATTAGAAAGTGATCAGAGATTGAGTGAGCAATTGAATATAATTACACAAAATTATACAGACCTTAAACCAGACGCTCTGCTATGTGTATGAGCCTGGGAAAGCCAAAGCCCTGTATTTCAGTACCCAGTGCTGCTGGAGGTCACTATTGTGGCCCTAAAAGGGAAAGAGGAAATGATCCCTGGCTGCAATGCTCACAAAAACTACTTGGATCCTGCCCTAGAAAAAGGACCAGAGACAGAAAGGGCAGCAATACGTCTGTCGCCTGCACGACATGCACTAAAAGTCAACGGCTAGGAGAGAGAGACGCAAAAACAAAGCATCTTATATTTTTCTTTTTATTTCAATTTTTATTTTAGATTCAGAGGCTACATGTGCAGAATTTGGCTGATAGAGACAATCGCCCGGATTTGCTGAAGCAGGGTGAGTTATCCCTAAGAAAAGCTTACACAGAAGTGGAAGACAGTTTATTATCTAGGAGAGCCACCACATCTCAAAATGTCAAAACTGCCAGTGTGTTCTTGCACACTGAAACCACTCACAGGTCAACCAACTGTCTTGGTTTGTCCAGGACTCTCTCATTTTTTTTACTGAAAGTCATGCAACTGGTTAACTTCTCTGTCCTTGCTAAACAAAGATAGTTTGTCTCCCAGCTTGAAGTCACCTGAGATCAAGAGATCTACTACTAACACATCATAGAGAAGCAGCAGAAATACTACCTATATTTTGAAATACAGGTAGTATTATCATTGATCTGGTGGAACTCTGAGAACTTCAATCCAGAAATTCTCAGAGTTCCACCAGATCAATGATAATACTATCTATATTTTGAAATATATATATATATTTGTTTATATATGTATAAAACAAAATAAAAATTTGTAAAACAAAATATATCTATTTGTTTATAGTTATATGTTTATATATGTTTATATGTTTATATATAGTTATATGTTTATATGTTTATATGTTATATATATGTTTACATGTTTATATATAGTTATATGTGTATATATAGTTATATGTTTATGTTTGTTTATATATATGTTTATATGTTTATATATAGTTATATGTGTGTATATAGTTATGTTTATATATGTTTATATGTTTATATATAGTTATATGTTTATATATGTTTGTATGTTTATATATATGTTTATATGTTTATATATAGTTATATGTGTATATATAGTTATATGTTTATATATGTTTATATGTTTATATATGTTTATATGTTTATATATAGTTATATGTTTAGAAGCAGAGCCATAAAAACAGGAAAACCAAAACAGAAAGAGCCTCCTATGAAAAAGCACATTTCAGGGGAGAAGGGAGGCAGAGTGAGAGCAGAGCTGTGAGCAAGGCCAGCCATGCAAAAGGCACGCGGCTGAAAGCCCTTGGTTCTCAGGCTTCCCGCCCATCTGAGAGATGCGTACTCTGTGCCCTGCTGTTTGTAAATGTCAAACATTTAATGATAACCACAATAAATGTGCTTGGTCAGCAGTCCTAAATATGGAAAAAGAAATCAACATAAAACATCTTTGGTAGTTTCTTTTCCTTAAAATCTTGTGTCAGAGGAAAGTACACAGTTACCACTGGAAACAAAGTGGTTAGGGAACTCTACAAAACAGACCACTGCAGGGGAAAAAACAATGATTTTGAGAGTATGAATTTTCCTGTGAGGAACAAAAATGAAAACAATGGTACGTTTGTCCCTTCCAAGTTCTTCACGGATGCCAGTAACTAATCTTCAGAGTAAATTTGGAGAAATTGTTCTGACTATGCACACAAAGAAGCTAGAGGGAAGAGGCAGTGTTGCTTTATTTACTCAGCGTTGACCTCCCACCACCCTCCTCCTTCCTCTACTTCTCTATCAATACTTCTGGCCTTCCTTTGACCTGTTTTGGGGCATGGACTTAGGGCTGAGGACAGCACCAAGTATCTCGCCTGGATCCTGCCAACCCTGCCTCCTACAAAAAGGTCACTTTGAGCCACTTTGTTCCTTTCTCTAGGTCTGTCTCTACTCATGGGATTGTTTTCAAGACTAAATGGAATGAGCACGTGAAACGGGAACCTGCCAAGGCTAGACCCTTCTGTGTCCTATTCTGCCAGTCAAGAAATAAAATTTCCTAAAATTTTGTGTCTTGCCTTAAAAACACACAAAGCCACATTCTTTCCATAACAAATGCAAGTTTATTTTAATACCTAATTAGGGTGAGAAGCTGCTTGGCAATAAGGAGAACTGGTGTGCCAGCAAGGTGTGCTGTACAGACCTAGTTGCTCCCTGTGCCTCCAAGGTGAGCACCTGGAGATTGGAAGGGAAGAGGCCCAGGTGGGATGGGCAGAGGTGGAGGGGAGGATACTGCTCCCCTGACACACATGACCCAACACGGTGCCATTTCCAAAATACTTTAAGGCCATGTTGTGAAGACAACAAAGTAAAGACATAAGACAGGAGCCAAGAAGTGCAGCCTTTGTATGCCTGCTGCCTTCCAGTAGCCGAGGTACTGGCTTCTCCTCTCCAGCCAGACCTGCTCTGCTACCCACCATGGCTACTGGGTGTCTATAGCTGAATGGCCAATGCGGCTAATAGGGCTTACATCTCTTGACAGTTGAGCAGCCATTTAGGGAAATTAGAGACACTGTAGCTCGAAGAAGACCATGAAGAGGAAGTTCTACTCTTATAGAACAGAGAAGCCATCTGTGACTACGTAATAAACTCTCAGGGGTCAGGGTAGGTGATCAGGGGTTTTTGAGCTGACTCTAGCCTATCCACAGCTTCTGACTGATGCTAATCTCAACCAAAGAATGCCAAGATATTAATATGTTCACAGAGAAGCCTCATGCCACTGATGTCATAGAAATAGGTCACACATAAGGAACACCCTTGGATAAGTGACATATCACACTTACATTGGAATTAATTTCCACAAAATTCCATTGCTGTCCCTACCTTCTAAATAGCTTCTGAATTATCATCAGCACCCACATGTTCACACTCAGTGCCTCGGGGGCTTCAAGATGTCCCAGAACCGCAGCCAGCAGCCCAGAGTGTCTTATCTGAAGAAGGGCCATATTGCCTGTCCACATGCATCCTTAACATCACATGGAAAGGGGGATTCAACTTCAACAGAGGGAAAATACCGCCAGGTGAATCACTTTCAACTACACAGAAGGAATCACAAATGTCTGCCTCCAAAACTTCAGAGTCCCAGTTTATTTTGTAAAATTGGACTCTTGTCACTCCTGTCATTTCCACACATGCAGGTCCCCCAGCATGAACGCATGAACCAACAACATGTACCCTTTTATATCAACTTTACACCCCAGCCAAGAGAAGCTTCATGAAAAACGGCACATAAAGATAACTAAAACATGACTTCTCAAACCAAAAGGGTTTAAGTCTAGACGTAAGCCAAACTCTGTAAACCCTCTCTGCTAAATCAGTCATTAAGATGTCATCCTTTTTCCTCTTTCACATATATTATTATTGTCCTACATTTCATGTTTCAGGGTTTTCTCCTTAGCCTGCTGTAAGCATGTGCTTTGGGAGACAGGGCAGAAGCTTTGGCACTGTTGACGCTCAGAAACGGCCACCCTAGATGGCTAGTGATGCTGGGGAGTCTCTCTGGAGACATCATAACAAGAATGCCATGGCCTGAAACATGCTTACCAGCCATCATCCAGAGAAGACAAGACACTGAAAGTAATATCATAAAATCTTACTAACATAATCAAGAGAATCCCATGTGATCTACTCTGCCAGACATTGCTGAACTTTTGACCTTCAACTGCACCTAAGTAGTTTAAGACTCTCCAGACATTCATTGACTCTTGCAAGCTTGCGTTTATCACAATTTAGCTTTTCACACCGCTACTCACCACCCAACACATTATTCATTATGCAAAAGTAATTTGAATTCATCATGCACTGGATTTAGCAAACTTATCTTTAACTGAGTTTCAGATTATTTCTAATTCTCCCTTTAGTTCAGAGCCATATGGGCTTTGTGACACAGAATGCTTTGAAAATAATTTCATTGGCTGGAACATTCAGTGGGCTGATGCCACATTTCTTTGAAAAAAAGTCTGCTAGGAAGAGAAGTAAATATCCCCCCACCCACCACTACTGCTATTGCCAGGTTCCTCCACTCATGTATTCATGTATTTGCTCATTCATTCACTCATTGAACAAATATGTGTTGCACCCTACCAAATGCTGAGCATCATACTTGCTGACAACAGCCTTGGCTTCATTGGCCCTCTGTGAGACACAGGAAAGTGGGGATGGACACAGGTTGAAGATGACCCAAGTCCGTAAGCACAAGCATCCTTTCAGTGCGAAGGAGAAATGCCAAGAAACAACAAGCAGAAGGGGTGTAGGCAACAGAATTATTAAAGACACATAAGCAGGGCCATGTTAAGATGCTCATGGGTCCTCCCTCCCCAAAAATCAGTGTTACATTTTATGACTCTGTAAGTATAAAGACAAATACAATCAGGCTGGATTACATATGTTTTTCCTTCTGATTTTAAAAGAAATTAAAACAATTGTCATGGGCTCCAAAACGTATCCTGGTTTCAGACACTGAACTTACTGTGCCTAGCAAATAGTTGGCCCCGGCTTTGGGGCCTCCCGGTCTTCCACCACCCATTAATTGAACGGCCTTTGTGCAAGGTAGCTAGCTGCTTAATGCCTCCTTGTCTTCCTTGCTAAGACGAAGGAAATGGAAATGAAAGTGCCTGGTTTAGTGCTCAGGACACAGCCAGAGCTCTGCGTTTCCGCATCTCCTCTCCACACCAAATAATAACAATTTGCTCTAGAAGACAATGGACATCCAAGTGAAATAAGGCTCAAGGGACTGCAGCCGTTTTTTATTAGTTATCCACTAGTAAATGCACTAAACCAAAGAAGCCCCACTTCAAGGAACACAGACAAACATCTGTCTCTATAATTATCCATACGCCCCAAATGCCCCTCCTCATCTCATTCCCCCTACTTATCACTCTGAACATATTCTACAATGGACTTACTCATCAGGCCCAACATCTGTCTCCCCTCACGGGAATGCCAGCTCCACAAGGTCAAGGGCTGGGATGTTTTGTTTGCTAATGTGTTAGCATTCCCAAACTTAGATTAGCATCAGGCATAACATAAGCACTCTGCCTATTCCTCGTTAAATGGCATGGATTTGAAAATTATCAGAAACACTAGTTTCAAAAACATTAAAATTCAGTCTTTAGGATATTTTGTTCCTTTCTATAAGAATTTATTCTCTACAAAACTACCACTCTTGATCTAGTGTTTTTTTGTTTGGTTTTTTTTTTGAGACTGACTCTCATTCTATTGCCCAGGCAGGAGTGCAGTGGCGCGATCTCCGCTCACTGCAACCTCCGCCTCTAGTGTTCTTGATAGTGTAGATAATCAGTATGTTTTCCTGTCTCTTCTTCTTTCCATTTCTGATACGTAAACTATGTTTGATTGAAGCATTTAGCAATGAATGGGGAATGCATGTGTACCACCCCCTTCTTCCTGTATCAAATTCTTTTCTAAGTCACAACATCTTATCTAAATTTTATACCATTCTGACAGTTTCCCAAGAAGCAAGGAGAAAGAGAGCATATTAGCAAAGTTACTTGTCTATCCTTATTAAAGCACAGTGTGTTAGTATGGTTCAAATATATATATTTTTTTTCTTTAAGATTGCTGGTCTAGTTGAAAAAAGACAATGAATTTGGATTAATCATTTCCAATATTCTGATTATACAAGCTACCCCATTGCCTCCAAAAAGGAGTTCTCCCAGGTCTTAGGGTGTTTTTTGTCCTTCCCACAGACCACTGCAGGCACAGAAACACTCCAGGCTGTACATTCAAGGAGATGCTTAAGGTATTTATATGTGGAGACTTATGGAAAATACAAAATATTAAAATGATATTTTCTTCCTCGGGGAATATAAACTTGTCTCCATTTTTATTTAAAATGCTGGAAGTTATATTGATTTTTATTATAGAATTAATATAGTCACATAGTAAAAGTTTTAGTAAATACAGATGGGTAGAAAGGCAAAATAAAAATAAATAATAATCTTACACTTTGAGAATAAAATACCAGCATTTTAATGTCTGCCCTATAAGCAGACAATTTTGTGCAGTGGGCAGAATGATGTGAGAGAGGCCCCAGGAGCTCACTCAGGGCAGGCTAGACAATGAGCCAACTGGAAGAAGGGGGTCCTCCTTTCTGTTACCACGAGGGCTGTAGCAGGAGGCCTCTTCCCTTGGCAGCAGGGCCCACATATTCCCATGGGCCTCAGCATCTCCAGGTGCTGGGCAGCTGGCTGTCCCAGACAACTCCAGTAACAGCTGATGCCTAATCCCAGATAGGCTGTTTATCCCCCTGCCTAGTAGCATTTCTTTGGGGCTTACAAGAAGGGAGAGTCACTGGGTGCAGGAGGGTCCCTCAACTGGACACAGACCTACCCACTGTGCAGGAGAGCTGGCCCCAGGGTGCCTTGCTGTTGGATGATGTCAGGATTCACAGCCCTTTCATTTTCTTGCTTCCATTTATTTTCTTCCTTACAGTTTATTCTTTAACACATACTGTGCCACACTGTGGAATAGACCCTTACTCTTGTGATAAACAGTTTTATGTATCAACTGGGTCAGGCTATAGTTTCCAGTTATTTGATGAAACCCTTATCTAGGTGTTGCTATGAAGGTTATTGTGTAGGTGTGGTTAACAGCTGTAATCAATTTACTTTAAGTAAAGGAGATTGTCTTTGATCGTTTACGTGGCCCTCATTCAATCAGTCGAAAAGATTTAAGAGGAAAACTGAAGCTTCCCTGAGAAAGAAGAAAATTGCTCCTGTGAACTGCGGCATCAGCTCCTGCCTGGGAGTTCTAGCCAGCCCTTTCTGACAGCCTGCCCTACGGATTTCAGACACTCTCAGCCCCGCCCCATAGTTGCTACAGCAATTGCCAATTCCTAAAAACACTTCAAGCGCTTCCTCTTCAGATTTCTATCTGTCCCCTATATAACTTACTGGTTCTGTGCCTGTGGTGGACCCTGACTGACATACCTCCCTTGTACCAGAGCTGTATCAGACCTTTCAGGAGCTTCAATTATGAATAAATTAGAAATGACTTCTTTAGGTAAGGTTTATGAAACTTGGAGTTTTTCCTACTTATTTTTTGTGTGTTCACACTGGATTTCAGATGTCAAGAGAGCAAAATATAAATTTAAAATATAAAAATAATATATAGAACATAGAATTAGCAAACAGCAGAAAAAAAAATTTGTGGTATGAACGTAAGGAAGCAAGGACAAATGTAGTGAACAAAATGAATGCCAAAAGCTGGGATGAGTGCAGGAGAACTGAGGTGGATCTCTGCATTCCCCAAGTACCCTGCAGTGGCCTTCAAAGGCTGAGGGCAGTCCATTGATGCAAAAAGAGATCTCCCCAGGTACAGAAAGTCAAGAACAGGTCTAGAGAGCAAAGAGAATGCCCCAGAAACTCAAAGAGCTGGCAGGCAAGCTGTAAAGCAGAAAGAGATCTCCCACAGTTTGGAAAGCTGGTTACTGGTCAGTAAAGCACAAAGATTCAAAGAGTCTGGCTGGTGCTCAGATCCCAAGCCCTTCTGAAGGCAAAGTGCTGACCCCACCTTCACACCATGTGAACCCAAGGTAAAGAGAATCTAGCTCAGGATCCTAACTCTGCAACAGAGCCCAGCACAGCCCAGCCACATGTCAGATTGACTCAGCCCCACATCACCAGCCCGACAGAAGGACAGAAGGAGCATGTCCTTCCTGCAAGGGCAAGGTAAACATTCCTTACTTCAATCTGCACACAATGTTTAGCATAAAACAGAAAGTCACAAGACACACAAAGAAACAACAAAACAAGGCCCATGTTTAAAAGATAACTCATTAACAGAAACAAATATGGAAATGGCCCAGATGTTTGATTTATCACTCAGGAACTTTGTAGCTGCGATGAAGGCTCTAGAGGAAAATACTGACACGTGTGAACAGGTGAAGAACTACAGCATGGGAAGCAAACGGTGAAAGCAAAACTCAGATGGAACTATCAGGACGTAACTGTATGATACTAGGTAGGAAGAATTCATTTGATGGGCTTAATAGCAGACTGGACATAGAAGAGAAAAGAATCAAAGGCAGGCCAATAGACAATATCTAAAATAAAACACAAAGAAATTAAACATGAAAAAAATAAAACAAAGCATCCAAGACCTGTGTAAAAATATCAATCAATATAAACAATTGGAATCCCAGAAGAAGAAGAGAGATACAGGAGAAAAAATATTTTAAGAGACAATAGCCAATATTTTTTAAGTTAAGGAAATACAGCAAGGTACATACCCAAGAAGATTAGCAAACCACAACATAAGATTTTAAAAAGTTATTTCAAAATCACACCTAGGTACATCAGAGGTGAACCTTAAAAGAAAAAAAAATTGAAAAGAAATCTTAAAAGTAGCAAGAAAAAATAGCCCATGTTATATTTAGGGGAAGTATGAAAAGAATGATGGATGAGTTCCTCACAATGGAAAAAAAATTCAAAATGCTGAAAAAAAACTGTCAACATAGAATTCTACATTGAATTCTACATTTAGTCAAAGTATAAATAAAAAAATAAAAGCTATAGAAGAGAGCAATTCAAATATTCTTCTCATAAATAAAATATGAATATTCAAGGTGATAGATATCTCAATTACCTTGATTTGATCTTTACACTTGATATGAATGCTTCAAAAAATCACATGTATCCTGAAGATATGGACATCTAATATGTATCAGTTTAAGAAAATGAAAGCTAAGTAAAGACATTTTCAGCTAGAGAAGAACTCAGAGATTTTTTTAGCCAAAAAACCTGTGCTCCAAGAAATGCTTAAAGAAATGCAGGCTGAAAGAATATCATACATGATAGAAGCTCAAATCTGCAGGAAAGAATGAAAACATAGGTAGTATAACATATAGGTAAAAATAAAGGACCTACTTATTATATTTAATATACATGTGTGTTTGTTTGTATACAGACATACATGTTGCATAATATATTAAGCACATATTAAAGGTTGAGCATCCCCAGTCCAAATATCCAAAATCTGAAATATTCCCATTTTAGTAGAGATGAGGTTTTGCCATGTTGGCCAGGCTGGTCTCAAACTCCTGACCTCAGGTGATCTGCCCACCTCAGCCTCCCAAAGTGCTGGGTTTACAGGTGTGAGCCACTGCACCTGGCCCAAAATCTGAAGCTTTTTGAGATCCAACATGGCATTCCAAAGAAATCCTCATTGGAGAATTGCACATTTCATTAGGGATGTTCAACTACTAAGTATATAATGCAAATGCAAATTCAAATCCTAAAAGATCTGAAATCTAAAACATTTCTGGTACCAAGCACTTGGGATAAGGGATACTCAACATGTGTGTGTGTGGGTGTGTGTGTGTGTGTGTGTGTGTGTGTGTGTTTGTGTGTACATATATATGCATTTCAGCACAACCAGTAGCAATGTGTTATAAGTTTTATAGAATACAGTGAAACAAAAGAATACAAAGAATGAGAGAATAGAATTATATAATTGTGATAGTCTTAGATTTTTTTAAAGTTTAGTATAATTGAAAATTAGACTATGATAGTTAAGTATACATACTGTAATTTCTAGCAAACTCCTAAAAAATAACACAAAGTATATTTAAAAAGTTAATTGCTGGATTATGCAAAATAAGGCAGGAAATAAGAAAGAGAAACAAATACTGGTAAAATACTTAAATACAATTGTATTGATAATTACATTAAATATAAATGAAATACCACTTACATACTAATTAAAAATAAGATTCAAATAAATGACTTTTACAAGAAACACTTAGAGCATAAAGAGATAGATATTTGAAAATAAAATGTTGAAAACTGACATACTATCCAACCACTATGCATCATAAATCTCGACGGCTATGTTTATATCTGACCGAGTACAATTCAAGACAAATAGTAACCCAGAGAGAAAAAGGAGTATATTCTAATGCTAAGAGTCACTCCATCAAGAAGAAGTAATTATCTTAAATGTGTATGAACCTAATAAAGAGATTCAAAATGCATGATACAAAACTTGACAGCACTAAAGGAAGAATGTTGCTTTTGAAAAGCTCACATTCACCATGGAAGATTTTAATATGCCTCTCATTATAACTGATAAAACAAGTAGACCAAAAATCAAAGAACATAGGAGATTTTAATACTGTCAACAAAATTTACATAATTATCTCTAATAGAATACTCCACTCAACAACTATACACTACAATTTCTTGAGAAGATCACATGAAACACTTGCTAAGATGAATCACATTCTGCAACATGAAAAATTCCCCAGCAAATCATAATGATAAAATTCATATAAAGTATGATAGCTGAAAACAATAATATTAAAATCGATCCCAGCACTTTGAGAGGCCGAGGCGGGCAGATCATGAGGTCAGGAGATCGAGACCATCCTGGCTAACACATTGAAACCCCGTCTCTACTAAAAATACAAAAAAATTAGCCGGGCGCGGTGGCGGGTGACTGTAGTCCCAGCTACTCAGGAGGCTGAGGCAGGAGAATGGCGTGAACCCGGGAGGTGGAGCTTGCAGTGAGCTGAGATGGCGCCACTGCACTCCAGCCTGGGCGACAGAGCAAGACTCTGTCTCAAATAAATAAATAAATAAACTTGAAATAAATGAAAATAAATAGCTTTAAAACTACTCAAATATTTGAAAATTAAACAACATGTTTCTAAACAGATGATGACCTATAGAAAAACCACAGGGAAAAATAAAATATATTTTGAATTGAATGAAAATGAAAACACAACATATCAAAATGTGAAAGGCAGTGAAGGTGGTGCATAGAGGGAGATTCATAGCTTTAATTCCCTATTTGAATTGAAAATAATAAGTTGTAAAACAAAAAGTTTTAGCTTTTAATAAGCTAAGAAAAACAACTAAAATATAAGAAAGGAAATAATAAAAACAGCAGAAATAAAATGAAAACACATAAAAGAAAATTAACAATGTGAGAAATTTGTTTAAGACAGTTTAATAAAATTGGTATACTTCTAGAAAAATTGTCAAGAAAAAATGAAAAGAATCTATATCAGTAATAAAAGTAGTAGCATCTCTCCAGGTTCTACAGATATTAAAAATAAGGGAATATCATAAACAACTTTATGCCATTAAAGATACAGCCACTTATATAAAACAGATTCCTTTAAAAACGCATCTTATCACAACTGATGCAAGAAAAAATAGAACATCTAAATAGCCTAATACCTGTTACAGAAATGGAATTTGTAATCAGAAGCCTTCCCATAAAATAAAACAAAAACATAAAAGAAAAAACTCCTGACTAGATGTCAATATCTAAGGAAGGCGTAATACCAATTACCAATCCTTCACAATTTTTTTTTTAATAGAGGAGGAGGGAACACTTCCCAAATGACTTTCTGAGACTGCACGACCCAGATATTAAACCTACAAAAAACATTATAAGTTTAAGAAAAAAGAAAAATATCCCTTATGGTCCAATACACAAAGATCTATTAAAATATTAGCAATTGGATGCTATAAACTTAAAAAGAATAACAGGTCATGACCATGTCAAGTTTATTTTCTAATACAAAATTGGCTTAACATTAAAAATCAGTCAAAATAATTCATTTCATTAACAGATTAAAGAAGAAAAATTATATAACTATCTCAATACATGTAGAAAAAGCATTTGACAACATTCAGCTTCTTTTATGAGAAATACTCAAAAAACTAAGAATAAAAGAGAACTTTCACAATCTGATAAAGGGCATTTACAGAAGATATACAAATAACATGATATCTAACACTGAATTATTGGAAACATTCCCCTTAGGGTTAGGAACAAGGCAAAGGTATTCACTCATCACTTTTAGTCACTTCTAATCAATATTCAACATTGTTCAAGAAGTCTTAGGTAGTGCAGTAGGGCAAGATAATACATTTCAAAAGCCAAACAATGTCAAAAAAGAGAATCACATAAGGTGCCTGATTTTTTTTTTTTTTTTTTTTGAGACGGAGACTTGCTCTGTCGCCTAGGCTGGGTGCAATGGCAGGGTCTTGGCTCACTGCAACCTCCACTTCCTGGGTTCAAGGGATTCTCCTGCCTCAGCCTCCCAAGTAGCTGGGATTACAGGTGCCCGCCCCTGCACCTGGCTAAGGTACCTGATTTTTAAGACTGCAATAAAACATTAGTAATCACTACCATCTCAAAACAATTATACAATTTGATTTCTAGAACAACCATATTGTCAGGCCTCTGAGCCCAAGCTAAGCCATCGCATCCCCTGTGACCTTCACATACACACTCAGATGTCCTGAAGTTACTGAAGAATCACAAAAGTGAAAATGGCCTGTTCCTGCCTTAACTGATGACATTCCACCACAAAAGAAGTGAAAATGGCCAGTCCTTGCCTTAACTGATGACATTACCTTGTGAAATTCCTTCTCCTGGCTCATCCTGGCTCAAAAAGCTCCCCCACTGAGCACCCTGTGACCCCCACTCCGGCCCTCCAGAGAACAACCCCCCTTTGACTGTAATTTTCCTTTACCTACCCAAATCTTATAAAACAGTCCCACCCCATCTCTGTTCGCTGACTCTTTTTGGACTCAGCCCACCTGCACCCAGGTGATTAAAAAGCTTTATTGCTCACACAAAGCCTGTTTGGTGATCTCTTCACACGGACGCGAATGAAACATATATAATTAAGACAGTGTAGTTTTGGCATAAGACAGACAATTAGATTACGGGAATAGAATAGAGATCTACACATATACGGCTCTTTTTAAAAATCAAGGTGCAAAGCCAATTAGGTGACAGGGGATGAAAGCCTGTTTCATAAATAATATTGTAAGAATCAGATAAATAGATGGAGGGAAATAAACCTTGAGTCCGACTCAACTCCTTATGTTAAAATTAACTAGAGAAAAATAAAAGAATTAGGCTTCATCAATTTTTTAAATTTGCTAATTGAAAGGCATCACTAATAAATAGGTAGGCAGGCTACAAATTAAAAACAAAATATTATACTTGACAAAAGATTCATACCCAAAATATATTAAAAAAAAAAACTCTTGCAACTCAGTAGTAAGAAGGCAACCCAAGAAAAATTAGGCAAATGACCTGAATTGTCACTTCCCAGAAGAAGACATATCACGTCCAATGAGCACATGTAACAGCATCATTAGTAATTAGATAAAGACAAATTTAAACAATAATACAATACCATCTCATACACACTATATTGGTTAAAATTTAAAATACTGTTGGGATGAAAAGTTGGAGAGAATATGGAGCAACAAGAACTATCATACATTTCTGGCAAGAGTTTAAGTGGTACCTTTTAGAAGTTTTATAAAGTTAAACATGCCATCCCACTTAGTATTTCCCCAAGAGAAATCCTAACATATGTTCACAAAAAGGCTTCTACAAAAATATTCATACCAGCCTTTCTCCTATTAGTCAATCCCTGGAAACAGCCCAAAAGTCTGGCAACAGAATAGGAAAAATGTTTAGAAAAGAAACAAAGTTCTGAAATCAGCAACAACATGTGTGAATTTCAGAAGTATTATAATTTAAAAGAAGAAATCAGATACCTAAGAATACATACCACTTGCTTCTATTTACATAACAGGTAAAACTAATTTGTGTTCAAATCAGAAAGGATTGCATCTGGGTTGGGTGCAGGCTGGGACACTGATAATTATGGGAGCAAGGGAATCTTCTTTGGGGACAGTTAACTGAATGTTCTACATCTTGTTTTAGGTGGTGTCAACTTGGGTGTCTTCCAATGACAAAACATATTAAGCTAAAAAATGATCAGTGCCTTTTATTGTATATAAATTATAATTCAAAAAATCATTTAAGAGAAACCATGAGTTTCTGTTTAACACAGGAGAACAGAGACAAGTTAAGATAGTGGCAGAATGGGAGAAGACACCTGCAACATCTAAAATCAACAAAATTTAATACTTATAATATATATATAGAACTCCTGAAAAATCCAACAGAAGAAGACAGGAAGCCCCATAGGAGCACAATGAAAAGATATAAATGCGCAATTTTTACGTAAGGTTCAAATAAATTATTTCAAAACTCCTAGAATTAACTAATAATCATAAAAAGGGCTAAGATCACGAAATATCTTTTTATACCTTTGCATCTATCAACAATTAGCGTTGCACCCAGGCGAGTTAGAGAAAACGCCACACTTTGAGACGAGTATACATATGTAACAAACATGCACGTCATGCACATGTACCCTAAAAGTATAATAACAATAAAATAAAAAAAAAAATAAGATGCAAATTGGAAAGGGCACGAGAGGGTATCTTAGTGAAAATTCTATGTGAATTTATATATCATAAATTTATAAATTAATTCATCCATTCATTCATATATTATGAACAAAATATATGTAATGATATATAAATGAATATTCATTTATTTATGTATTATATATTCATTCACCATCCCTTATTATGGAGAAATTTGAAAATATAAAATTATTTACTCAAAAGCTTTATTAAAAAAAAAAAAAAAAGAGTCCTTTATTAGCCGGCGACCAGGCCGCTTCCCTCTTACCAGAACCAGAACAAAGTCAAATCTGACCTACCTGACCCCGGGGTGAGAAGCTGAGGACTCAGATGTTGAATTTTAGGGCACTGACACGGTAGTCGATCCGCTCTCCTCCGGAAGACGGTCACTCTTTGGGGACCTGAAAATTGTTTCCTCAGGTGGCGCCCCCCTCCGAGCCGGCTGTCCTTCCGGGGGAGCCCGGAGCGAGACTGGCTCTCGCCCAGTGGCGTTAATATCTTGCTGGGGCCTCCATTATGTTGTATCCAGGCAAGTCAGAGAAAACGCCACACTTTGGGATGAATTAAGAGTCCTTTATTAGCCGGCGACGAGAGACGGCTAACGCTCAAAATTCTCTCGGCCCTGAAGAAGGGGGTAGATTTTCTTTTATACTTTGGTTTAGAAAGGGGAGGGGGGTCTAGTTAGAACAATTTTACAGAAGTTAAGTAGGCAAAAAGTTAAAAGGATAAATGATTACAGGAAAGTAAACAGTTCCAGGTGCAAGGGCTTTAAGACTACTACAAGGTGATAGACTCGGGGCTTTGGGCGTTATCAATCAGACGAAATCCTGGGAACTGCGGATACAGCTCGCCACAGTATCTTATCAGTTAATTGCATTCTTGGATGTGCTGGGAGTCAGCTTGCACAAGTTAAGTCCTTGAGGAAGGGGCTGCCAGTCAAAGAGCCAAGATGGAGTCTATCTGGCTCTCTTAGCTAAGGGAGAATCAATTCAGGTGGAAACAAGCCTAAAAACAGAGTTAGTAAAAACAAAGTTGGGCATTACATTAGAAAACCAGGTATTTGCAAGGATTGGTGAGTATATAGGAACAGAAGAACCCTCATGCACTGAGAAAAATAGAGTGCAGGCTAACACCGTCACAGCCTAGAGGTATCCGGCAGTATCTAGTTAAACCCTTCTGTGAATAGCCCAGAGACACTCTTACACACCTTCAGAAAGGGACAAGTTCAAGGATGTTCACTGTAGCAATAGGAGGTGAAGTCAGTTGGGCTTCTGGGTAGGGTGGGGACTTGGAGAACTTTTGCATCTAGCTAAAGGATTGTAAATGCACCAATCAGCGCTCTGTGTCTAGCTAAAGGATTGTAAATGCACCAGTCAGCACTCTGTAAAAACGCACCAATCAGCACTCTGTAAAACAGACCAATCAGCACTCTGTAAAACGGACCAATCAGCACTCTGTAAAATGGACCAATCAGTGCTCTGTAAAATGGACCAATCAGCAGGATGTGGGCAGGGCCAAATAAGAGAATAAAAGCTGGCCACTGGAGCCAGCAGCAGCACCCAGCGTGGGACCCCTTTTGCACTGTGGTACCTTTGTTCTTTTGCTCTTCACAATAAATCTTGCTGCCACTCACTTTTTGGGTCCACACTACCTTTATGAGCTGTAACACTCACTGTGAGGGTCTGCGGCTTCACTCCTGAAGTCAGCGAGAACAAGAACCCATAGGAAGGAATAAATTATGGACACAGCAAGATGTATGATGGGGTTGTTGGTCAGTTTTAGAATCCATCCCTGGGAATGGGGATACATAAAATGTGCAGTATAGAGACCATAGAGTACAGTGCAGCAGTTAGGTGTCAGGAATTTAATTTTCAAGTGACATGGAAGAGTTCCAGAAACATAGTGTGGATGAAGATGAAAGATGTATAATACAACTTGATGATGTAAATTGAAACCCACATGCAAACAAAACAACAATATGCATTGTGCAAAACACAGAAAGATGCACATTAGCACATTTGTAACGACAGAGGGAGGTAGAGGGAATGGGCTATAGGGATCAAAGGAAATCAACATAACCAAAGGGGAACAATTCTCACACAGACCACAGCCCACCACAGAAAGCAAGCAAAAGACCTGATGGGTCTGTGTTTTTTTGGATCATCTGAAAGCAACAATACATATGAAGTTCAGAGGTACATAATTAAATTATAATAAATTAATTTGGATTCTGAAAGCAGATCCAAAAAAAAACCTCAATAAAACTTCAGAGTAGACACAGAAGAAAAAGAAGCAGTGAGGAAAAAAAGCTGATTTGATGAAATCACCCAAAGCATAACACAGAGGGGTAGAGGTAGGCAATATGAAAGAAAAGTTAGGAGATATAGAGAAAAGAATGATAAATTCCAATGTCTCTTTAATAGGAGACCTGGAAGAAGACGAAAGAAGAGACAATATTTGAAGAGCTAAAATCTGAAGGAGATTCTAGAACTGACAAACAGCCAGAATCCTTGGATTCTAGAAAGATTACAAGCCAAGCAGGAAAGAAACCCATGTCTTGCCTATATGAAACTACAGACTATTACAGAGCCAGAGAAATATATTCCAACCTATCAGAGAGAAAAAGATTACTGACAAAGTTAAGATCGTCGCTAGAAAATCATTACAAAAATTCTGAAGGAAAATAAATGTCAATATAGGATTCCATCTCCATTTATGTTATTAGTCAAAAATTAAGCAAAACAAAGATGTTTTCAGATATAAGAATAAAAGAATGTACTACTATCAGACCTTCACCACAAAAAAAAGTGAAGATTTTTCTTTGGTACTAAGAGGGTGTCACACTCACATGTGGGATGTCACGTAGAAGGTGGGCATTCAGCCATTGTGAGCCACGTGGTGGCCCAGGGTACTCAGCTGATGGTCAGGCCTCTCTCCTGATTGGCTAGGGTCCGTGCTACACGGATCTTCACTTCAGATCATCCACCAGAACCAATGGTGAATAACAGATTCTAGATCTACCTTGGAGAATCCAACTTTACCATGTTTAATTTTTTTTTTTTTTTTCCTGAGACAGAGTCTCGCTCTGTTGCCCAAGCTGGAGTGCAGTGGCGCGATCTCGGCTCACTGCAAGCTCTGCCTCCCGAGTTCAAGCCATTCTCCTGCCTCAGCCTCTCGAGTAGCTGGGACTACATTAAATTAACTTTTAAAGACTACTGAGGCCTGGTCGGGGTGGCTCACGTCTGTAGTCCCAGCACTTTGGGAGGCCGAGGTGGGTGGATCACCTGAGGTCATGAGTTGAAGACCAGCCTGGCCAACATGGTGAAACCCCGTCTCTACTAAAAATACAAAAATTAGCCAGGCGTGGTGGCGGGCGCCCATAATCCCAGCTACTTGGGAGGCTGAGGCAGGGGAATTGCTTGAACTCAAGAGGCAGAGGTTGCAGTGTGCCAAGATGGTGCCACTGCACTACAGCTATAGCTTGGGTGACAGAGGGAGACTCTGTCTCAAAAAAAAACAAAACAGACTACTGAGAACGTTAAAAAGAAGGTAGATTTTAAAATTGTAATTAAAAGAGCATGGAAAGTAGAAAAAAATCAATAGAACTTATATAAACTTCCACACCAGTAGAAGAAATAAAGGAAATAGAGAATCATCTAATGGGGACAGGAAAGGCGGGTGGGCTGGAAGACAATCCAAGACCAAATGCAGTAAGTGGAAAACACCCAATGTACCAGAAGCCAAAGGAAAAATATATGTACCTACATGACTAACTAAAGAAAAACAATAACAGATTTTGAAAAGTATCTTGTGGAGCATAGCTATGGTGTTTATTAGAAAGAAGTGTATAGGTTTAAATGCATTTCTTTTTTGAAAAAGAAAGACTGGAAACAAATTAGCTCAATATTCAATTTAAGAAGCGAGAAGAATGCAGTAAACTGAAAGGACTTCGAAGAAAGATGATAAAATACAAAACAACAAGGAATTGAAAATGAAAGCTGTGTTTTGTTTTTAAAAAGACGAATAATATAGTATAGAAAAACATCTCAGCAAAACACAAATGATCAATGGGAATGAAAAAGAAGACAGGACTCTGGATAAAGCAGGTCCTTTTAAATCGTAAGAGAATCCTTTAAACGAAGAAGCATATGTGGTCCTCTGGCAGAAGCTGGGGAATGCGCTGCAGCCTCAAGGAGGTGGCGGGAAACCTAGTTTTAGTCCCCACCCTCAGGACTGAGACCACCTTTTGCTAGTTCCATGGGCTGAGCAGCTGTTTATGGCACTTTGTGTCAATCTCTGAGCCAGAAGTGTTCACCTAGGACCTTTTATAAATCTTATCTCTGAAACTGGTGAGGTATACACTCTCATCCCTGTTTTACAGGCGAAGAAATAGGGGCTCAGGAATGTCAAACAGCAGAGCCAGGTTTGCTTAGCCAGTTAGTGGGCAAGCCAGGTTTCAAACCCAGGTTTGTCTTATTCCAAAGTTCATAATCCTAAACTGTAGCAACTTTCTCACTTCCTCCCAGGTGTGAGAGGAGGGGAGTGGGGATGGGGACAGAAACTGGGAGAAAGTGTGAGGTCAGCATTGACATTTTTCTTCACTCTTTCCAAAATACGACTTTCTGCTTTTGCCAGCCCAGCAGAAGCTATTTTTCCCACTGTTAGGTGGGCACATTTGCTACCCAAGCCTTCCAGGGGACACAGGTGTTAGCTGGAAACAGACAAAAAGGCATTGAGTTTGGTAATTCATGGCTACGAGTTTATTCTTACTGCCTTTAAAGCTATACAGTAACATTTTCATATAGAAGAATTTCTTTCTTTTAATTTTTCCTTGTAAAAAAAATTAACAAAGTAACGCAATCAAACATATTTTCAATTCCAAAGTCAAATTGTATCCTCTAAGGATACCATAAAATGTAATTTATTTGATCTGCTTATTTTTAATTCCCAGATCCCATATGCTAGGGAGATTAGCAAATACTAGTGAAATGTGGTTGAGTCACAAGGTAATTACTTTAGATAAATGTCATTCTGCAGTTTAGGATTATGGTCCTAAAGCCCAGTATTTAACGGTACCTGATTAAGCCCTACTGGGATTGGCTATATAGTCCTGGGGACTGTGTATAATAAAACTCTATAAAGTAACATCCATAAATCAGTTCTTCTTCATATATTCCAGTGGTTGATTTCAGGCCTAAATCTGCATCTTGCTGAAGTGTTACAATAGTGTTTAAATAATGAGAATACTTATTATTTTTAAAATGCATCCAAAAACACCTATATCAAATATTTTCACGGTGAGTTTCGGTTTGCAGGTTTTTAATTTTCTGTGAGTCCAAAAATGGGACAAAATATACAAATAAACACATACTCACATACACAGAAACCAGATTCAGAGACCAAGATAACTAACAGTCCCAGCCGAAAGGATCAAGAGCAACACATTCTTAGGTTATGTATTATAAATATATACACATAGTATGTAGTAAACATAGCTTTTGTAACAATTCCCAAAAAGTGGTTTTAAAGTTCAACATTAAGCATACAAGGAGAGATAGCAAATTAGAGACATAAACACACATAATACATATTCCAGGAATTTGCAGTCACTGGGATTCTGTACATATACTATGTACATAAAGATAAGACCTGGAGAAAATGAGCTCTGGTTAGAGAGCATCTGCGTTTTACTAATAAGTACTTACTAGAAGTTGAGATGATATTTTGAACATTGCCTTACTAGAAGCAAGAGTGTCTAGAACACAGTGCCCTATATTTGGAAACACTAAGTGAACAGAACCCATCCCCTGGGCCAGATGGAGCAATAGATTTAACCTAGTGGGAACTGTCCTTTGGTAAACAAAGGAATTGCCTTTATATGTACTGCACACTGATATTTGAGCAATGGAAAAGCAATCCGATATTTGCAACAGACTATTAAAGTCATTACTAGATGAGAGATGAATTAAACTTACCAAAAAATTTTAGGAATCAGTAAAAAAATATATATAGATCAAGGATGACTGACTATGAATGAACTATTGAAGAAAGATCACTTCAGAATTCAGGCAAGTACAAAGTAGAATCACAAAAGGATGTTTAGAAAACCAGTACTGAAGTTTCCAAGAGATCCATTTTATAAATGTAAGGCAAAAGAAATAAACATCCTGGGCACAGCCAGCAACGCAAAGGTTACCAGGGGCCAGTACACATTGTACCATCTGAAGCACTCACTGCTTTTTCTGGGTTGAGGACAGATTATATTAACAATTCCAGACTGGGTTTGATTTCCATTGATTTCGTATCTGGCTGTTCAATTTCCAGAGAGTTGTATTTGTGGTATATCAACTTTCGGAACTATAACCCACAAACGAACCCACAGACACGAATATGCTTCTCGGCCTGGTACATGGAACACGAGCTGGTCCTCTGCCCTCCCTTCTTCCACCACACCTGACTCTGCTGTCCCCACCTGTCTCTTCCCACCCTCACCTCAACTTTAAGGGACCTCAGACCTACCAGGGGAGTGGGAAGGAAAAAAGAGAAGAGGATAAAGGGAGAGAAAATGTCCTAGTTTTTAAAAAATGCCAGTTTCCTTTTGGCTGGAAAACTGGTTCAGAAGGAAATTCCTTGAGTCTTTCAAATATTCAAGGAAACTAATAAACACCCAGAGTGAACCTTAATATACACTATGTCCACTGGGTAATAATGATCTTTCAAGGCAGGTTCATTGATAACAAATGTACCACTCTTGCGGGGGATGCTGATAACAAGGGAGGCTGTGCATGTGTGGGATCAGGGGTGTACAGGAAACCTCTGTACCTTCCACTCGGTTTTGCTGTGAAATGAAACCTACTTTAAAAAATAAAGTCTATTAAAAAAAAAAAAAAGCCCAGATAGTAAAGGATCAAAGTGAGTAAAATTCAGTGGCGTTTTTCTGTATTTTGAAAAGCATGATACCTCTGCATTAAGGAATGAGGCAAAATTGCCAGTGTGCTTGGAACTATGCCCCCAAAAACCTGTAGGGGAAAACAATTCTGTATCAGTCAGAAAAGACCTCATTTGATCCCCACTTCCCATATGTGCCATGGAAAAATCCATAAGAAAAGAAGCACAGAGAAGCTGATATTCCTCCCATGAACTTGCCTGTTGGGGTCAGGTTCCGCTCCTTGGTGTTACACAGGGGCACAGGCATAGCTCACCTGAAGCACCAGTAACTCCAGTTTCAGAGCCCTAGTTACCTCATGGTAGAAGTAACCAGGTCAAGCCTAGGTGATAAATGAATTACATATATTTTGCAAATCCATCTGCAAGTCAGATAAAAGGAACCTTGGAATTATCTCAAGATGTGAAGCTGGAGTGTTATCAGAATGACAAGGATTGAGATCAACTTTCATCTCAGAAGCGTCGGCAGCAGGGCAGTGAGGTGCTAGAAAAAGCATAGAAATCAGGAAGAATCGCAGAATGGAAGAATGAAAGCAGAGGGTGCCCATGGCGATGTGCGGAGAGCTGCAGTCTGCGAAGTGCTTTTACATTCATCAACATCACTGTTCTCATCACACCTCCCTCCCTCAAAGAAGCAGCAGGGACTCTGCAAAGTCAGGTCAGCAGGGCCCAAACATGGCAGCTCCCTGGAAGCCCTGAAGAGCTCTGCACAGTTACCAGGTCCTGCGGAGGGGGTTCTCTCGGTCCAGGAAGCGCTGTAGGTGGGAGCTATGAACCTGAAATTGTCAAAAATCCATCTTGGTGATTCTGATGCTCCACAGATACAAGAACACTGATACAGTTTGGATGTCTGTCCTCTCCAAATCTCATGTTGAAGTGTGACCCTCAGTGTTGAAAGTGGGGCCCAGTGGGAGGTGTTTGGGTCATAAGCGTGGATCCTTATAAATGGCTTGGTGCCGTCTTCACGGTAATGAGTGAGTTTCAGCTCTATTAATTCCAGAGAGAGTGCTCCCAAGAGCTGGTTGTTAAAAAGAGCCTGGCACCACCCTCCTCTCGCTCTTGCTTCCTCTCTTGTCATGTGGGAGGCCATGTCACCTTGCCTTTCACCACAAGTAGAAGCTTCCTGAGGGCTCACCAGAAGCCAAGCAGATGCTGGGGCAATGCTTCTTGTGCAGCCTGTAGAACCGCGAGACAAATCAACTTCTTTTTTTTTTTTTTTACAACTTACCCAGTGTCAGGTATTTCTTTACAGCAATGTAAAATGGACTAACACAAGCACAAAAAGGGTTGGAGAGATGGGAAATATTGGAGCTCATTAGATCCATGAAGATACTCTATTGAGTGTTAAAGAAAAATGCTGCGTGAACCCGGGAGGCGGAGCTTGCAGTGAGCCGAGATCCCGCCACTGCACTCCAGCCTGGGCGACAGAGCAAGACTCCGTCTCAAAAAAAAAAAAAAAAAAAAAAAAGAAAAATGCTTAAAAGAACACATATGCAAAAGTTTACAAGTGGTAATAGATCTACAAGTCTTTTTTAAAGCACAGCAAAATACATGGGCAATTTCAGAGAGGATCTATTTTTTCTTGTTTAATGCTGAATGAAGAATTATTCCACCCACCTCTCAGCAGTAGTGACTGACCAAATAAGAGGGTGTTACGGTTTGGATATAGTTTGGCCTCACCAAGTTGTAGGTCGAAATTTGATTCCCAGTGTTGGAGGTGGGGCCTAGTGAGAGGTGTTTTGGTCATGGGAGTGGATCCCTCATGAATGGCTTGGTGGTGTTTTTGCAGTAAAGAATGAATTATTTATCTACTAGTTCCCATGAGAGTGCCCCTGAGAGTTGGTTGTTAAAAAGAGCCTGGCACCTTCCCTGTGCTCATTTTGTTTGTTTTTGTTTTTGAGATGGAATTTCACTCTTGTCACTCAGGCTGGAGTGCAATGGCACTATCTCAGCTCACTGCAACCTCTGCCTCGCAAGTTCAAGCGATTCGCCTGCCTCAGTCTCCTGCGTAGCTGGGATTACAGGTGCCCACCACCACACCCAGCTAATTTTTGTATTTTTAGTAGAGACAGGGTTTCACCATGTTGGACAGGCTGGTCTCAAACTCCTGACCTCAAATGATCCATCCACCTCAGCCTCCCAAACTGCTGGGATTATAGACATGAGCCAACATGCCTGGTCCGTGCTCTTTTGTTTCTGTTCTTGCCATGGGATCTCTGTGCAGTGGCTCCCCTTTGCCTTCCACTGTGAACAGAAGCAGCCTGAAGCCCACACCAAAAGCAGATGCTGGCACCATGCTTCTTGTACAACCTGCAGAACCATAAGCCAAATGAACCTATTTCTTTATAAATTACCCAGTCTCACGTAATCCTTTACAGCAACATAAAAGCAGACTAACACAGAAAATCTTGTTTGACTGTTCTGTGTCCCAGAGACAGAGTTGATTAAGGAAAATGACAACACTGCATCTTGGGAAAGAGTGTTCAGAAGCACCCCACCCAAAGCTGTTATGAAGGAGAAGGATGTTTCAGCCCAGCGCTCCTCAAACTTCATTTGCATAATAATCACTAGAGGATTTGTTAAAGTTCAATTCCGATTCAGGAGATCTGGGTAGAGCCTGAGATTTTGCATTCCTGACCAGCTTCCAAGTGATGCTGACAGTGACAGACAGCCTTAAGGTGCAAGATATTTCTGGTGACATTGCTGTATATATTTCCAAGAAGGTGCGAGAGGTGTGGACAAAGATCCATGCTTGAAACCCAACTTGCCCAAGAAACACATGGAACACTACCCTGCCATGTCAATACTTACGCAATCCTCAGTTTGTTTCTAAAGCAAATTTCTGTACCTAACAACACAATATGACAGTCTTAATAGCATATAATTAGACAACAGAAGAAGGCTGGACTCTAAGTGGTAGCAAATATGAACATTTGGGGCAGTAACCACATCACACAGCATCTAAAAAGGAAAACAAGGCACTAATTCCAGATACAAAAATAAAGAAGAGCAGATGAGTAATTCAAGGAGTACATTAGAGGACACAACCTTTTCAAAAATAATTTTTAAATCTAGTAAAATTATTATACTTAAAATAATCTTGTGATCAACAAACATACAAAAAAGGCTTTGGGAGCGAATTAATACGTGTAATAATCTCATCAATGAAACAAGGGTCCATTGGAGAGGATATGAAAAAGGATATGTATCAGAGACTTTTAACTGAAAATTACCTCAAAATCATCTAATTTGTATCTACCCGTATTTCTGATGAGAACACTAGGGTCATGTCTTAGCTTTAAGCATCTAATTTTCATGACAAAATCTGGGTTATAACTCACATAATCACATATTTTTCCCAATACAATGCTAATCCACACACTGATTTTAGTGAGTATAGGTTAATTACAGCATCCATTCATGTTGGAAAATGTTTATTAAGTTTTATACAATTTTTTATCACATCAGTTAAAGAAAAAAATGGTGTGTACCCCGTAACTGGCTGCATTACCAAATAAGTGGGAATGCATAGTCTTTATCACAAAATGTTGTTTATCATTTGATAAATCCTTCTCAAATTTTAAGAATGCCTTTCAATAAACATCATCTCTACTTAGCATCTCTGTCATTGAAATTTTATGAAAAGTATAATCATTTAAATAGTAAGAGTAATTTTTTTCAGTGATGCTGCAGCACAAGTTTTAGCCCAAATAAAATATATTGTAAAGGTCATTTTCTGATGTACAAGCCAGATATTCTTTTTTCAAGCACTTGCAAAGCCTTTGGGTGTGAGCTGGAGTTGAAAGTTAAACATCAATTTGCATTTGGTTTAGGAAATCCTTGTCACCTTTTCATGAAATTTCAGCTGTCTCAGTGGATTTGGCAAGATCAAAGCCCAGCACTCAGTCAGCCCCAGTTTTAATCCCTGCCAACAGTCATCATTTGATTCTTGAGCACAAAGAGCTACTACTGGTGCACTGCTGCCCACAGTGCTATGACTTCATGCGGCCTTGTTTTCACCTGCTTCCATTCAGCTGGGTGCATGGCTTCCAATATTGCAGAGATTTGCAAAATTGGTACAAGGAGAATCTAAACTGCAGATGCCTTCAGCTGCCAGGCATGGACTTAAAGGCGTTCCTGATCCACATGACTCAGGATTACAGCCACAGACCTTGGCGGGCCCCTCAGCTGCTCTGAGAAGAGGCAGGATCTACCTGACTCCAAAGAACACTCACTTACAATTGCATTACCTACCCCTCTGATATTAGGTTGGCTCAAAATCATGGATTTTGGCATTAAAAGGTAATGGCAAACATCACAATTACTTTTGCACCAACCTAATATATACTGTCATATATTCAGGAAAAAATTACTTTGTGAATGTCACATGGTTAATATCAACATTAGTCAGAACATCTAAAGGGGGAATACCCTTGTGATGAATCTTAAATACCGAGCAGGATGGCAAAAGTCTTTATAATAAACATGAACAAATGCAGTAAGTTTCAGCAAGTGGTGATGAGGAAAAACTGTGGTGAAATGGACATTTTTAGAGCAACAGACTCTCCTTGTTGAAAGCATGGAGGCTGTTTACTTTTGTTTTACTATAGATTCATAAAAAGTGATGGATAAAAATGGTTGTTTAGCAAAGTAATAAATAATGATAATCTAATACAAATATTTAGTATGGAATGCTCATGAAGATTCTAGTTTTTCATTCTCCCATGACCTAGACGAAAGAAAAAAAGACAGGTTGTTGTTTTTCTTTTTTTCTGCATGTATTATTCAATTTGTAAAATTCTACATGTGGAAAAACATTTAACAAGAAAACTGAATAAGAACAAAGGGAATTATGTTGACAGAGGAAGAAAAAGAAAAACTTTATTCTCATTGAAAAGAAAATGCAACCATTTATGTGAAGCAAAATGAATCACAATCAATGATCAGTATTCTGTAGCCATATTTTCAGGAGCTGGATTTTTCAACTGATTAATTAGGAACTCAAACTGTATGTGTATGAAAAAAAGTAGACTGGGGCAAGTTATTTCCTGTGACAATCCCAGCCGTGCTACCATATCCCTCTCCACTTCTCTGTCTTGTTTTCCAAAGACCATGAAAATAACTATTATTCACAACGAAATTGCAATCAACAAGTCACTTTTTTCTCATGGGGAATAATCAGTGAAGAAACAGCAACCCACCCTGCAGCTCTCACCTCCAAAATACAATTTCTATGCTTTGGCAGCCAATACAGTACAATTAATGTTTAACTCCATGCTTTCTATCTAAACAAAATGAAATAATAAAAACTAATAAATTAGTTCGGGCACAGTGGCTCATGCCTGTAATCCCGGCACTTTGGGAGGCCGAGGTGGGTGGATCACGAGGTTAGGAATTTGAGACCAGCCTGGCCAATATGGTGAAACCCCGTCCCTACTAAAAATACAAACATTAGCTGGGTGTGGTGGCATGTGCCTGTAATCCCAGCTACTTGGGAGGCTGAAGCAGGAGAATTGCTTGAACCCAGGAGGTGGAGGTTGCAGTGAGCCGAGATCACACCACTGCACTCCAGCCTGGGCAACAAAGCAAGACTCCATCTCCAAAAAGAAAAGAAAAAAACACACAAAAAACAAAAAACCAACTAATAAATTACCACCCTTTTAAGATATAAGGTATCATAACTAAGGAAAGTGAGACTAGAAGCTTGGCATTTTTGAAATCATCTTTGGCAATGTATATGACATCAAATGTACATGAATAGTGAAGAATGGAGTTTGCAATCTAGCATGTGCGGTCATTACAAAACCATCCTCACTGCTAAACTTCTGCACACAAACTATTTGAGAATATTAGATTTATTACACTGCTTTGTCCTCTGGTAGCTTATGTCTGGATAACATAGCCAAAAATTATGTACAAATGAACTGGCTCACTTTTTTTAATCTGTCACTCCAAGTTAACACTCTCCTCTCCTATCACTCAGCAGTTTCTTTTAAGATGTAAAAATAAATTTAAACCTAATAACTCCTCTTCCTGAGAACTGAATTGGTAGATATTGTGTCTTCAATCAATGGGAATTAGTAGGCAGTTTCCGTCATTTTGTAAGAAATTCCAAACACTGAATATGAATCTCCAATGTAACTAAGAAATAGACCCAAAGTGCAACAGGATTTTTACCCACAGGGAAGACCAAGCCTAGGCTCAAAGGCCTAGATTCATATCCCAGGTCTGCGACTTACATGGAAGTATGTAAATATAAAATATTAACATGATATGGACAATGGCACTTTGATAAATGCAAGATTCGAATATCCCCTATTTAGTGCTCTATCATTAGGTCCACTTTCTTAACCCATGCTTGGGCCAGAGGGGCACATTAATGAGCCATGGAGCCCCTGCAGGGGTTCTGCCCCATGCATTTACAGCTGGAATTAAATCCCATCTCCACCACTCTGCTCCCAGTGTGAACATGGGGAAAGTTGATTAAACTCTCTGACTTCAGATTCCTCATGTAAAATGTGGGGAAACAGCTCTGACTTAATGGTGTCACTGTGAGGAGTAAATGAGGTAACATATTTAAAGGATTTTGTATAGTGCTGGTGACAGTAACCAGCCAATAGATGATATAGCTAGTAATAGCAATAATAATGTCACTTACTATTACTTTAAAAAATAAATCTCAAAGTCAAAAATACTAAGAAACTAACAAGAGACTATACTTGGGTCTCCCTTTTGTAACTTTTGAACATTATCTCACTTCTGAAAGTCCTGTACCAATATTATCCTCCTCATTTCTCAGGTGAAGCAGCATCTTAGAGGGGTATTGCCCTGTCTAAACCATCTGGTTATCATGGTGAGGTCCAGGATTCTTCCCTTTCCTCATCTTTGCCTTAAAAACATGTATTCTAACCAACTGCCTTAGTTTGTCCAGGCTGCTATAACAAAATGCCATGGCTTATTGATATGGTTTGGCCGTGTCCCCACCCAAAATCTCATCTTGAATTGTAATCCCCATTATCCCCATAATCCCCATGTGTCAAGGGAGAGACCAGGTGGAGATAATGGAATCATGGGGGCAGTTGCCCCATGCTGTTCTCGTGATAGTGAAGGAGTTCTCACGAGATCACATTTTTTTTAGGTGTTTGGTAGAACTTCCTGCATTCAATCTCCTTCCTGCCACCTTGTGAAGAAGGTGCCTTACTTCCCCTTTGCCTTCCATCATGATTGTAAGTTTCCTGGGGCTTCCCTAGCCATGAAGAACTGTGAGTCAATTAAGACTTTTTCCTTTATTAATTACCCAGTCTGGAAACAGAATAATACACTTATAAACAACATAAATATTTTTCCTCATAGTTCAGGAGGCTGGGAATTCCAAGATCAAAATTCCCTCATCACCATTGCCAATAAAGTACTGAGTATCCACCTGTTACCTAAACACGCAATACTAGTTGTTATATAAAGCCATTTGTTAAAAGCCTCCTTACCATTCGATATAAGTAAAGAGGAAAATTGTATGTTAACTTGTTTTCTATCCCAGTATGACAGACATTTGAAACAGATAAAAGGAGTGTACTTGTGAGGGTATGTTATATTGTGTGGAATAGAAAGTGTCCACTAGGGTTAAATTTCTTGGAATAATTCTATTAAAAATGAGTTTGGAAAGAACAAAGTGAGGTAACAAGGTATAAATATACATAAACTCTAGGGTTGTTCCCAAGAAGTGGTCATAGTTATAATAGGGACAAACTGAATTCTAATTTAATATTTTTCACTTCAATCCCTTAACCATATGCCAAGTATACGTTGGCAATACAAATGGCCCAGGCTATTTGGAGAAAATGCATTCGATTTCTAATAGCTTACCAATAATATGTATTAGCTTGTTGGACCCATTTTACAAATGAAGGAATTATGTGTCATAGAAACTACATTATCTGCCCAAGAATTAAAGAGCAAGAAAGGGACAGGGTCTTACTTTGACCTTAGCCAGGACTCTCCCCCATGGCCCAGCTGCCTTCTGGCATTCAGAATTGCTAAATGTGTCACATTTAAGAAGGTAGTCTACAACATCCTGCTGGCATTCAGAATTGCTAAATGTGTCACATTTAAGAAGGTGGTCTACAACATCCAGGAAGGCAGTAATACCCCATTAAAGTTTTAGAGCTAAGTACAATTTTGTTTTCTTTTTCAATCTGACTTTTGCATATATAAAATGTTAAATTTTTCAGGTGAGAAATTACTCTGATAATGCAATTAGTCTGTAAGGAGTTTAGGTAGTTATCCTAAGGCAAGGTAACAGTAAGGATACTTCAAATACTTGAAATATCTGATAAACTATATTAACTCAATATCTATCAAATATCACATACTCATATGAGCTTGTATGTCTTATTTTTAATAAGTTAAAGAGACTCAAATAGGAAGCAAAAGGTCAAGTTATTATTTGGTTTTGGACAATGGCTTCCTGCTCCAATTGAAATAAAATGTAAAGACCTCGCTATCATTTTTAAGGTGTAGTGGTTTCACCCCTCCCTGTCTCTCCCACTTCACTGACCACTTCCTTAACTGTCCACTCCGAAACACCCCTTCTTCCTGTTCTTCCAATACACCAAACTCTTTCTTGCCTCTGTGTGCTTGCCCATGCTGTTCCTTCTGGCTTCTTCCTTCACATTCAAGTCTTGACTTAGATGTCACTTGCCAAGGGAGACCTTGGAGAACCCTTCCTGACCATCTCATCCATCACCCTCACCCCATGTCATCTCTACAGCATCACTCTGGGTTATTTTCTTCACCGCACTTGTATCACCATGGATTATATGTTTATTGTCCTTCCCTCTCACAGAATATAAGCCCCATGAAGACACAGATCGAATTCTAACTTATTGCTGTCCCCAGCCCTTAAGAGTTCAGAAGAACTCACAAGCACGCACATATTTGTTGAGCTAATGAATTGCAGATATTGTACCAGTGATTAAATGGAAACGAGGTTTTAAAAGATGCAAAACAAAATACATTTGACGAAGTTAAATGTTTGAAGAGCCAAAATAGTTTCTGGATTAGAGTTCAAAATTAGTACTAAAAGTATTTTCTGCCCTAAACTGAAGTGTGGTACTGCCTTAGAAACCTGTTAACTTAAACTACACTATTTAAGAGTTAAAGCATATGTTTTATATATTGGAACTTCACAAAAAAGGATTTTTTAATTTTTTTTTATTAAGTCTGTGCTATTAATAATTCTTGAAATTGTTGGTCCTTGGAATAAAGGCCAAACTCCTAGACTTATGTCATGGTTTTGTAGCCTCAACTATCAGCATTCCAATCCTTCACCTTTTCATGATGTTTCTCTTTTTTTTTTTTCCTCTGTTTTTGAGATGGAGTCTTGCTCTGTCGCACAGGCTGGCAGGCAGTGGCATGATCTCAGCTCACTGCAACCTCTGCCTCCTGGGTCCAAGAGATTCTCCCACCTCAGCCTCTCGAGTAGCTGGGTCTACAGGCATGCTCCACCACAACTGGTTAGTTTTCTTTGTATTTTTAGTAGAGATGGGGTTTCACCATCTTTACTGGTGAAACCAGTTGGCCAAGCTGGTCTTGAGCTCCTGACCTCAAGTGATCCACCCACCTTGGCCTCCCAAAGTGCTGGGACTACAGGCATGAGCCACTATACCAGGCTATGATGTTTCAATATTATAAAACTATTTAAAATTATCTGAAAGCATCATGTATCATGGTCATGAGTTCCTCACTGTTATTTTACTATTCAGAGCTAGAATGCTCAGTCTGAGCCAGTTCAGCTTACTTTACACACAGGAAATGGAGGTTGAATTTCCAAGCGACCGAGTGATCCATTTCTGATGTTCATCAGTAAGTCAGACTTACATCTTAAATAGCTGCTAACATTTGCTACCTATCTACAGATGTTTTCCGCTAAATCTCATGTTCCAAAATAGAAGGTTTTAATCGACTCCTATGAACACAGGTTAAATAGCATATTTTGTTGTTGTTGTTTTCGTTTATGCTTTTTCAGAAAGTTACTTAGGTCCATTCATTTATCCCCCTATATTTGAAACAAAATTCTGCTTTCTTACAAGCCCCTTTTCAGTTAATCTCAGGTGGCTATCATACTTAAAATTGTGGAGAATTATTTTCATCCATAAGGCCTGTAGGAAGATGCCCCTACCTCAAAACTTATTGGGATAAAGTCAAAAAAGGGTCATCCTCTTAAAGGTAAAACAGGAAAATATTAATCAATCCTAGATTTGGAACAATAATACACTGTGCAATAGAGTCTGGACATGTGTGGCTGGTGGGTGGAGATTCTGCAAAGCCATGAGTCCCTGGAAGGTAACCAGCAGACTAATTTTACAGTGTGACATAGCTTATCACAATAGCGGACAGGAACCTGGGTTTAAAGAGGACTCACTTGGGCAGTAATCCTGGCCTGTCGTTTCAGGAATATGACCTTGGGCAAGATACTTGTATTCTTTGAATCTCACTCTTATCATCTGAAAAATAAAAACACTAACGACTGTCTCAAGACTGCTGTGAGTATTCAATAAAATAACAGCTGTCAGGCCATTAGTTAGCACAATATTTGGCACAGGGTAGGGGGTAATAAAGAGTAGCCATAGAGATAATGTTGGGATGATGGCCTAAAGAGGATGCTGGAGCACAGTTAGGTGTGAACAGAGGGTCGCATGCCATAATCATAATCAATAACTTGTAGATAATCAATAACTTGTATGTAGATAAAAACTTGACTGTCTACAGTAACAGATGTGGGCTCTCAACTGGGTCCAGCAAATGGAACAAATGATTGTGTTTTTGGTGTTACTCAGGGGAGGGGAGGCTGATGCCAAGACAGTAACCTCAGTCTTTGTAGAGGGAACCCCATATGCTAAAGAGATATCGCTTGAGAATGTTTCATGCTCTTGAGCCCAATTCTATGTGCTCCCTGATGGAAGGACAGGTAGGTATTGGGTGAGGTGAGCAACCAACACTTACTGGGTGCACCTTCAAATAGGACACCTTCTGAAGTCCCCCTAGCCCAGGCAGCACAGGGCAGGCCTTCTTTGGTGCCACCAAGTGCAATTGTGTTTCCTTCTTATTTTACCATCTGCTATGCATTTCTTTCCATATCCATGCCTATAATTCCATGAGTTTGGGAGGCTGAGGTAGGTGAATTGCTTGAGCCCAGGAGTTTGAGACTAGCCTAGGCAACATGGTGAAACCCCGTCTCTCCAAAAAATACAAAAATTAGCCAGGCATGGTGGTGCACACCTGCAGTCCCAGCTACTCAGGAGGCTGAGGTGGGAGGATCACTTGCGCCCAGGAGATCAAGGCTGCAGTGAGCCCTGATCACACCACTGCACTCCAGCCTGGGTGACAAAGTGAGATCCTGTCTCAAAAAAAAAGAAAAGAAAAGAGGAAGGAAGGAAGGAAAAGAGAAGGGAAGGGAGAGAAGAGAAAAAAGAAAAGAAAAGAGAAATTGCTAGGGAAAGGCACATACTGGGTTTCCAAGAGCCATCTCTATTCGAAGGTGTGCAAAAGACTCCCAGTGCTTAAAGGCCCAGCCAAGCTCTGCCCTGAAGGCCAGGGTGCTGTTTGCCTCAGGAACGGGAACACAACCTTTGTAGCTGAAAGTCAGCTCTTCTGAACCTCCTCACATAAAACACTTATCAACAGAAAAGATGAGGCACAACCTAACCACATACTCTGGTTCCAATTTATAAGAGGATCAGATCCAAATATAGTTTATTACATTGAAAGGGATGTTCTGATGAGAATCCATTTTTAAAAGAAAGGAAAATAGCAAAGAAGCAAGCAAGTTGTAGCATTACTACAGTCTTTGGATCCAAACATCGCGAATGAGAAATGCTTTAGGCAAAGTAAAAGTTTTGACCTGAATGAGACGAAGTATCCTGGTACCTAAAGTCATCCCTGTTGGTAATGGGATCCACAGGCGGCAAACTGTGGCCTCTGTGCTCTGTGTGAGTGCATGTGCGTGTCTGGACTGATTCTTAGGCCCTGCTGGCCTGTGGTTTTCCTTTGCGCAAGAACTAGCACAAGGCAGAGCACTAGGACCAGCCTGTTTTCTCTGCAGTGGTTTGCTGAGCCCATGCTCTGGGGGTAAGCCTTAAAATGGCACATGAGCTTGTAGCAAGAAGGACCCTAATATCGTCACATCAACACGGCTGACTCACTTGTCCCCTAATAATAGACAGGTACTACCTAGAAAAGTAGATGTTTTAGAAAAACACTAAAGATATTTTTATATCTGCAGGATCGGTACCACTCTCCAGCTTTCTGATACTTGCTTTCAAATATAAGAGTGCTTCCCCTACATGACACCTTTTTAAGGAAGGACTAATTTTAAAGCATATTAGAGCCCATATTCTGATATTCATTGACGGGTGGGAGTTGATGAGCGTAAGGTGACTCAGAGGCCCTCAATGGCCATTTTTGTCAAAGAGCTTATTGAATTTTGTGGGTATTATTCAGTTAGCTAAAAGAAAAAACATCTTATCTACTCAGAGTTCCACAGCACAAAGAACCAAAAGTTCTTTCTTAATTGGAGAGGTTGGAAAGTATAATTATGCCGTATGCTTGGCAGGTAAATATCTTAAAAACAAGAACAACAGAACACAGAATTGTGGTAATTTCTTGCAACAAGAAAATGTCTTGAAGATGACCTACCTCCTGCACCCCTGACCATACTGGGTGATACGAAATGTGCACATTAAGAAAAACTAGTGAACTCTATTTAGATAATTTTAAGGGAAACATAGAATGATTTTTATGTGATCTACGACCTGACCACATTACAGTTTTATAGCTGAAAATCACTCTTGGGGAAAAATAAAATAGCTCCCAGTTTCCTCATTTTACAAATATTTCATATATATATATATGCTCATGTTCCTCAGTATTCCAGAATTCATCAAAAGATAATAGGTAAGGCAGCATGATGTTATATTAAAAATAAAATAAACAGCATCATCTTCTACACTTGTCTTTTCCCTTAAAATGAAAAAATGAAAGTTTATAAACTCATTTGTAATTAAGATTATAGCTGTTTACAAATATTTTTGCTAGTTAATTTTACCAACCCAATTAATTTATCACATTTTCAGAAACCCAAATCTAATAAAACACACTCTCAATAAATAGTAAGCACTCACAACATAATGCATATATTTAGCCGTTATTTCTAAGCCAGGTTGGCTATTACTAGCTTCAACTAATTTTTGCCTGACTGGAGGGCACTGCTACACCCTGAGAGCAATATTCACAGGGTAAAGAAAAATAATCTACTTTTCCTACATGACCTTGTGTATTTCATATTTATGTTTTATTTCTTGGGAAAATATCTTCTTCAAACGAAATGTCTCCTTTGTTGGTTTAATGACAGAAATGGGGTACTAAGTATTTCACAGAGTTTTAGGATAAAAAGGTTCATGGTTCTAAATCAAAGTTTGCAAGCCGGTTTTTTTTTTTTTTTTAACCTATCTTTTTTACAGTAATAGGCTTTTTTTTTTTTTTTTTTTTTTTGGAGACAGAGTTTTACTCTGCCTCCCAGCCTGGAATGCAGTGACATGATCTCGGCTCACTGCAGCCTCCACCTCCTGGGTTCTAGCTATTCTTCCCCCTCAGCCTCCCAAGTAGCTGGGACTACAGGTGCCCACCACCACGCCCAGCTAATTTTTTGTGTTTTTAATAGAGACAGGGTTTTGCCATGATGACCAGGCAGGCTGGTCTCAAACTCCTGACCTCAGGTGATCCATCCGCCTCAGTCTCCCAAAGTGCTGGGATTACAGGCGTGAGCCACAGTGCCCGGCCTATTTCTTAGAACAGTTACAGATGTATAGAAAAATTGAGGCGATAGTAGAGAGAGCTCCCATGCACTGTCCCCTGCCACTCCCCTATACTCAACTTCCTATATTATGAACATCTTGCAACAGTGTGAGGAATTTGCTGTTAACTAAAGGCCGCGATTTACATTAAGCTGTACTCTGTGTGTTGTACGTTCTGTGCCTTCTGACAAATGTATAATGTCATGTATTCACCATGCTAGTGCCATGCAGAATAGTTTTACTGCCTCACAAATCCCTGGGGTTTGTCCTGTTCATCTTTCCCCACCTGCCACCTTCACATCCCTGGCAGTCACTGACATTTTTATTGTCTCAGCATTTGCCTTTTCCAGAATGTCATATGGTTGGATCCACATACGATGTGGCTTTTTCAGACTTGCTTTCCTTGTGTGGCTGTATGCATTTAAGGTGCTTCCTGATCTTTTTGTAGCTTGATGGATCATTCTTCTCATCACTGAGTAAAAGTCCACAGTTCACTCACTCAGTTGCTGAAGAACACTTCGGTTGATTTTAGTTCGGTTGCCTTTAGTAAACATTCATGTGCAGATTTTTACGGGGAAATAAGTTTTCAAATTATTTGCATGAATGCCAAGAAGCGTGATTGCTGGATCCTATGGTAAGACTATGTTTAGTTTGTAAGAAACTGCCAAACTGTTTTTTTTTTTTTTTTTTTTTTTTTGAGATGGAGTCTCACTCTGTCACCCAGGCTACAGTGCAGTGGCACGATCTTGGCTCACTGAAACCTCCGCCTCCTGGGTTCAAGTGATTCTCCTGCCTCAGCCTCCCAAGTAGCTGGGATTACAGGTGCACGCCATGACACCCGGCTAATTTTTGTATTTTTAGTAGAGACAGGTTGTCATCATGTTGGCCAGGATGGACTTGATCTCTTGACCTTGTGATCTGCCCACCTCGGCCTCCCAAAGTGCTGGGATTACAGGCGTGAGCCACCGCGACTGGCCCAAACTGTCTTTTAAAGTGACTCTGCCGTCTCTGTTACTCCACATCTCATCAGCATTTGATATTGTAAGTTTTTTGAATTTTAGCCAGTTTAGTAGCTATAGAGTAGTATCTCGTTATTGTTTTAATTTAAAATTATTTAACGACATATAATGCTGATCATCTTTTCATATCTTTATCTTCCACTTCTGTGTCTTCTTAGGTGAGGTGATCTTCCAGATCTTTTGTTCTTTTTTAACATTGGATCATTTGTTTTCACATTGTTGAGCTTTAAGGCTGCTTTATATATTTGGATACAAGTCTTTTTCCAATATGTGTTTCACAAAGATTTTCTCTCCATCTTTGGCTTGTCTTTTAACGTTCTCAATTGTTCAATTGTGTCTTTTGCTGAGCAGAAGGCTTTTTTTTATTATTATTATTTTACTTTAAGTTCTGGGATACAAGTGCAGAACATGCAGGTTTGTTACATAGGTGTACATGTACCATGGTGGTTTGCTGTACCTATCAACCTGTCATCTAGGTTTTAAGCCCCACATGCATTAGCTATTTATCCTAATGCTCTCCCTCCCTTGGCCCCCAACCCCCTGGCTGGCCTCAGTATGTGTTGTTCTCCTCCCTGTGTCCATGTGTTATCATTGTTCTGGGACACAGCTAAAGCAGTGTTAAGAGGGAAATTTATAGCACTAAATGCCCACATCAGAAAGCCAGAAAGATCTCAAATCGACACCCTAACATCACAATTAAAAGAGCTAGAGAAGCAAGAGCAAACAAATCCAAAAGCTAGCAGAAAACAATAAATAACTAAGATCAGAGTAGAACTGAAGGAGATAGAGACACAAAAAATCCTTCAAAAAAATCAATGAATCCAGGAGCTGGTTTTTTGAAAATGTTAACAAAATAGATAGATTGCTAGATAGACTAGTAAAGAAGAAAAGAGAGAAGAATAGACACAATAAAACACGATAAAGGGGATATCACCACTGACCCCACAGAAATACAAACTACCATCAGAGAATACTATAAACACCTCTATGCAAATAAACTAGAAAATCTAGAAGAAATGGATAAATTCCTGGACACATACACCCTCCCAAGATGAAACCAGGAAGAAGTCAAATCTCTGGATAGACCAATAACAAGTTCTGAAATTGAGGCAGTCATTAATAGCCTACCAACCAAAAAAAGCCCAGAATCAGATGGATTCACAGCTGAATTCTACAGAGTTACAAAGAGGAGCTGGTACCATCCTTCTGAAACTATTTCAAATAATTGAAAAGGAGGGACTCCTCCCTAACTCATTTTATGAGGCCATCATCTCCTGATACCAAAACCTGGCAGAGATACAACAATAAAAAGAGCAGAAGTTTTTAAATTGAAGGAAGTCAAACTATCTTAGCTAGCTTGGGTTGCTATAAGAAAATACCATCAACTGGGTAATTTATGAACAACTGACATTTCTCACAGTGCTGGAGACTGGATAGTCCAAGATCAGGGCACCAGCAGATTTGCTGTCTTGTGTGGAGCTGCTTTCTGGTTCATAGATGGTGATTCTTGCTACGTCCTCACATGGTGGAAGAGACAAGGCAGCTCTCTGGGGTCTTTATTATATGGGCACTAATCTCATTCACGAGGGCAGAGACCTCATGATTTAATCACCTCTCAAAGGCCCCACCTCCTAAGACTATCACAACATATGAATTTTGGGGAGACACATACATCCAGACCATAGCACCAACTTATTAATTTGTCCTTTCATTCGTCATACTTTTGCGGTTGTATCTAAAAAGTCAAAACCAAACCCAAGGTTACCTAGACTTCCTCCTATATTATCTTTTAGTAGTTGTATTGTTTTGCACTTTATATGTGGGTCTCTAATCAATTTTGAGTTTTTTTGTTGTTGTTGTTAAAGCACGTATTGTAAAATATTTGCTAAATTTTGTGTCTAGTTTCTTTCACACATGGATTTTCAGGTGTTCCAGCATTATTTGTTGAAAAGACTATCCTTTCCCCATTGAATTGTCTTTGTTCCTTTGTCAATATTCAGTTGAATATATTTGTGTGCATCTGTTTCTGAGCCCTCATTCTGTTCCATTGACCTACTTGCCTGTTCTTCCACCAACACCAGAAGCTAGTGATTACCAAAAGTCTTGAAGTCAGGTAATGTCAGTTCTCTCATGGTTCTTCTACAGTATCTCCTTGCCTATTCTAGGTCTTTTAGCTTTCCATGTAAGCTTTAGAATCAGTTTTTCAATGTGTAAAAATTGGCTTGCTGAGATTTTGATTGGGATGACTCTGAATCTATAAATCAAGTTGAGAAAAACTGACATCGTAACAAAATTGAGTCCTGTCCATGACAATAGAATCTCTCTCCATTTCTATATATCTTGTCTATTTCATTAGAGTTTTGTAGTTTTCTTCATGTAAATACTGTCCAGATGTAGTTAGATTAATATTTAAGTGGGTTTTTTGGTGCTAATAGAAATTATATTGGTTTTTCATTTCAAATTCCAATTGTTTATTGCTGGTACATTGGAAAGCAATTGACTTTCATATATTAGTCTTGTATCCTGCAACCCTCTATGACTACTTATTAATTCCAGAAATTTTTTTGTTAACTGTTTCAGATTTTCAAATAGACTACCATGTCATCTGTGAACAAGGACAATTTTATTTATTTCTTCTCAATCTGTATATATTTTATTTCCTTTTCTTGCCTTCCTGGATTAGCTCAGACTTCCAGCACAATGTTGAAAAGGAGTGATGAAAAGGAAAATCTTTTACTTGTTCCAATCTTAGAGGGAAGAAACTTATTTTCTCATTATTAAGTATGATGTCTGTTATAGGTTTTATGTAGATTCTTTTTTCCAAGATGAGGAAGTTCCCCTCTATTCCTAGTTTGCTGAGACATTTTTATCATAAATAAGTGCCGGTTTTACCAAATTCTTTTTTGCATCTGTTGTTATGATCATATGATTTTCATTCTTCAGCCTATTATAATGCGATAGGTTACATTTCCTCATTTTCTAATGTTAAAGCATCCTTCAATACCTGGAATAAATCCAAATGCATCATGGTACATTATTCTTTTTATACATTGTTGGATTTAATCTGCTAGTATTTTATTGAGTAATTTTGTATCTAAATTCATTAGAGCTATTGATCTGTAGTTTTCTTGTGATGTCTTTATCTGTTTTGGTTTTAGGATAATACTGGCCTCATCAAATGAGTTAGCAAATGTTCCCTCTGCTTCTACTTTTTTTTTTTTTTTTTTTTTTTTTGAGATTGGGTCTCACTCTGTCACTTAGTCTGGAGTGCAGTGGCTAGATCTCTGCTCACTACAACCTCTGTCTCCCAGGCTGAAGTAATTCTCCCACCTCAGCCTCCCAAGTAGCTGGGACTATAGCCATGTGCCTCCATGCTCAGATAATTATTTGTATTTTTTGTAGAGACAGGGTTTGTCATGTTGCCCAGGCTGGTCTGGAAATCCTGAGCTCAAGCAATCCGCCCGCTGCGGCTTCTCAAAGTGCTGAGATCATAGTCATGAGACATAACGTCAGCTCAGCTTTTATTTTTAGGAAGAGATTGCAAAGAATTGGTATCATTTTTTTTCTTTAAGAGTTGGTAGATTTCACTAGTGCAAACACTGGTGCCTGATGCTATCTTTTTTGGAAGGTTATTAATTATTGAGTCAATTTCTTTCATTGATATAGGCCCATTCAGAATATCTGTTTCTCCTTATACAAATCTTGATAGTCTGTGTCCTTCAAGAAATTAGTTTATTTCATCCAAGTATTCAAATTTATGGCTACAGGGCTTTTCATAACCCTATTATCCCTTTAATTATTATCCTTTTAACATCTATGAAAGCATTCCTGATGAGTTCTCTTTTATTTCCAATATTAATAATTCATGTCTTCTTTTTGCTTGATAGCCAGGTTAGAGGTTTACCAATTTTATTGACATTTTTAAAGAACCAGATTTTAGTTTTGCTGATTTTCTCTACTGGTTTCCTGGTCTCAATGTAGCTGATTTCTGGTCTAAGTTTTATTATTTTCTTTCTTCTGCTTGTTTTAGGCTGATATTGCACTTCTTACTCCAGTTTTCTAAGGTGGAAGCTTCGACTATTGATTTCAAATCTTTTTTCTTTTCTAATCTATGCATTCAATGTTATAAGTTTTCTGTGAAGCAGTGATTTCATTGCATCCCACATTTTGATAGGTTATATTTTCATTTAGTTACAAATAATTTAAATTTCCCTTGAGATTTCTGCTTTGACTTATGTGTTATTTGGAAGTGTATTTTTATTCTCCAAATATTTAGAGATTTGCAGCTGTCTTTATGTTATTAAATTTAATTCCATTGAAGTTTAATTTCATTATAATCAAGACCATATTTTATATGATGTCTATGATTTTAATTTTCTTGAGATGTCTTTTATAGTCCAGAATATAGTCTTGGTGAATAGACCATGTGAATTTGTAAAGAATGTGCATTCTGCTGTTGTTCATGAAGTATTCTATGAATGTAAATTAGATTCAGTTGTTTGATGGCATTGTTACATAGGTCAACTATAACCTTACTGATTTTCTGTCTGCTGGCTCTGTTAACTACTGACAGAGGGGTGCTGAAGCCCCTAACTATAACAGCAAGTTTTTCTAATTCTGCTTATGCATTTTATTTTACTGTCATTTATTCCTACGAAGCTCCTCCTTTTGTTATGTAAATCTGAATTTCTGACCCATGCTATTTTCTTCTTTCTGAATACATTCTTTTAACCTTTCTTAAATGTTAAAGGCAGGTTTACTGGTAACAAATTCCCTCAATTTTTTTGTGTCTGACAAAAATCTTTATTTCTCCTTCACTTTTGAAGAAACATTATGTAGACAGAGAATTCTATCTTGGTGGGTTTTTTGTTGCTGTTGTTACTGTTGTTGTTGTTCAATACTGTACATTTCACTCCACTCTCTTACTTGTGTAGCTTGTGGCAAAAAGTCCAGTATAATTCTTAGCTTTGTCTCTCTACAGGTAAGGTGTTTTTCTCTGGCTTGTTTCAATATTGTCTCTTTTTCTTTAGATTTCTGCAGTTTGGATATGACATGCCTAGGTGTAGACTTTTTTGCATTTCTTTTTTTTTTTTTTTTTTTTCTGAGCCTCTTGGATATGTGGTTTAGTGTCTATCATTAATTTTGGAAAGCTGTCAGCTATTGTTATTTCAAATATATCTTCTGCTCCCTTTTCTCCTTTTTCTGGGATTCTCATTCTGCATGTGTTATACCTTTTGTAATTGTCCCAGAGTACTTGAACAGTCTGTTTCTATTTTTCCATTCATTTTTTTTCTCTTTGCATTTTGGTTTAAAAAGTTTCTCCTGACGTATCTTCAAGCTCATTGATTCTTTCTTGTTTATATCTAGTCTATTAATGAGCTCATCAAAGGCACTTTTTATTTCTGCTACATTGCTTTTGAGTTCTAGCACCTCCTTTAAATTCTTCCTTAGAGTTTCCATTTCTGTGCTGACATTATCCATCTGTTCTTGCTTGTCATCTACTTTTCCTATTAGAACCCTAATTCTGTTAATCATAGTTAAATTCCATATCCAATAATTCCAAAATCACTGCCATATATGAGTCTGGTTCTGATGCTTATTCTGTCTCTTCATATGTATTTTTTCTTGCCTTTCATTTCTTGTCATTATTTGTTGAGAGTCAGACACAGTATTTGGGTAATGAAAGCTAATATAATTAGACTTTTAGCATGAGGTTTTACATGAATCTGGGCTGTATTTAATGTTTGATGTAGCTGCAGGTGACACAGCCTTTAGTTTCTTTATCTCACTTTTCTCTCTTGTTGTCTTTGTGTTTCCCTAGGAACTCATTCTTGAATAGAGGCTGCATCTTGCAGCTCTCTTAGCTGTAATTCACTGGTATTATTTTGGAGCCTTGTTGATGTGATGCTGAGGTGTTAGGGAGAGGAAGCTCTCCATACTCTTAAGATAAAATCTCAGCTTGCAGTATACCCAAGTCCCTGGATTGTGACTTTCAGATGTGCTTTGTGGTTGTGTTTATTTGTTTGTTTGTTTTTTAGCTTTTCTTCCTCCTCCTATGTGAGGCAGGCAGGATAGAAGGGGGCACCAGTGGCTAATTTTCCTTTCCTCAAGTTGGACAATGTTCTGGTAAGGTAGCCTTCCTTGAAGGACATGGTTTTCTTATAGAGAATGCAATGGGCTTGCTTCAAATACTTACCTTCTCACTTCCCATGCTCAGAACTGGAGGGGATTTTTCTCTGACCTTCATGTGAGAATCTGGTGAGCTTCCTGGAGGAAAAACTCAAGAAAGCTGTAGGGGCTCCTAGGAAATATTAACTCTCAAGCCTCACATACTTAGTCTCCAGCAATTCATTGAACTTACCATTTACGTGTTCCTACCAATCACTGGCTCCGCAAGCTTCTGCCCCCTGTAAGCTGACCTTGGCTCTCATTCTCTGTGTTGACCTGTCTCTCCAGATTGCAGACCAGTGGTTTGCCCTGTGACCTCAATCCTCTGATGAATCCAGAAAAGTCATAGATTTTCATTCTGTTCAGCTTTTTTTCATGTTATGAGCCCAGGAGTAATCACTTCCAAGCTCTCTGGGTGCCCTCGCTGAAAATCAAAGTCAGCAAACTTTTTCTTACGAAGGGCCAAATGATAAATATTTTTGGCTTTGAGAGATACAGAGTCTCTATTGCAGCTCCTGAAGTGTCCTATTGTAATATGAAAGTAGCCATAAACAAAATGCGAATAAGTGAACATGGCTGCGTCCCAATACAGCTTCATTTACAAAAAAAGGGGTTGGGCCACATTTGGCCTGTGAGCCCCATTTTGCTGATCCCTGCTCTATACAGGCTACAGAATGAAAGGCCATCAGGGGCCAAGACATTAGTAAACATGAGCAAAGGTGAATGGGTTTTAAACAAAAAATATGTTCTTCACTTATATATGTGCTTAATGCACATTCTTTTTTTTTTTTTTTTTTTTTTTTTTTTTAAGACAGTCTCACTGTATTGCCCAGGCTGGAATGCAGTGGTGCAGTCTCAGCTCACTGCAACCTCCACCTCCCAGGTTCAAGCTATTCTTCTGCCTCAGCCTCCCGAGTAGCTGGGATTACAGGCATGTGCCACCACGCCCAGCTAATTTTTGTATTTTTAGTAGAGACAGGGTTTCACCATGCTGGCCAGGCTGGAGTCAAACTCCTGAACTCAGGCGAACCACCCACCCTGGCCTCCCAAAGTGCTGGGATTACAGATGTGAGCCACTGTGCCCAGCCAATGCACATTCTTATTTCCATAAAAATGTTATATTTCATTTTTCTTTAAACAAATACTCTACTTTAGATAGGAATATGAATATCATAAATCATTTAATGCTTCTGAATTATAATAAAGAGACAGCCACACAATTGGCAGCTGGTACTCTGTCTCAGTGTTGGTGTTGGGGCCACGAGGGGGTGATGGGGACATTGATGAGCTGGAGTGAAGAGCACCAAAGCCACTGCTGGAGCTGCCAGGTGGGAATGAGAGCCTGCATTGCCAGATTTATAATTCTTCCAGAGGAGCTGGAAATCCAGATTTTATGTTACCTTTAAAATGTTTAGTGTTGGCAACTATTCAAAATAAATTTTTAAACATTGCCCAGGTCAACAGTCAAACACAAATATTTGTCAAGTACAAATCCTCTAGCTGGCTAACATTGGCTGGCTTGTGGTTGAATTTGGCCTCCAACCCAGGCCAGCCCCAAGTTTTACCAAACGGGTGCATGGGAGTTAAAGAAGGTGCCCAAGGTCACACAGCCAGGAGACAGCAGAGTGTGACCTGGGCTGTAGTAGCTGAGCAGCCCACTTCTGTATGCGAGCTCACAGCTCAGAGCAAATGTACCTTTTAGCTTCCATGGAATGAACATCTCTCTGCTCTGTTTTCAGTCTGATATGGTTTGGCTGTGTCATCACCCAAAACTTATCTTGAATTCCCACATATTTTGGGAGAGACCTGCTGGGAGGTAATTGAATCATGGGGGCAGGTCTTTCCTGTGCTGTTCTTGTGACAATGAATAAGTCTCACAAGATCTTATGGTTTTATAAAGGGCGAGTTTCCCTGAACAAGCTCTGTCTTTGCCTGCTGCCATCCTTGTAAAACATGACTTGGTCCTCCTTGCCTTCCACCATGTTTGTGAGGCCTTGCCAGCCACGTGGAACTCTGAGTCCATTAAACCTTTTTCCTGTATAAATTACCCAGTCTTGGGTATGTCTTTATTAGCAGTGTGAAAACACAGTCCCACCACTGAGTCATTTTCTTCCACTGATATTAAGAATCCTCGTGTTTACATTCTTACATACCTTTTCAGAAATCAACTAACTTCACACTCTTTTTTCAAAAAGCACAATTATGTTTCAGTTAATCAGCAAAAAGAACTAATAAAACAATCACAATTATGCCTGTGCTGTGAAATCACAGCAAGATAAATGGTTCCAATCAGTCAAAGGAATTCTACAAAGAACATCATATATAAGAAATGTGCTTCAAGTTATTTGGATCCAAATTTCATATGCCTCATTCTCCCTTTAATTCTGATTTTTTTTTTTTTTTTTTTTAGGAAATAAATTCCATCTTTTCAGGGATTTCATCTTTTTAGAAAGCGATATTCTTTCTTTAGGGGAAAAATGAAAAGAAGCATGATATGGTTTGGCTGTGTCCCCACCCAAATCTCATCGTGAATTGTACTGCCATAATTCCCACGTGTCATGGGAGGGGCCCGGTGGGAGGTAATGGAAACATGGGCGGGTGGGGGTTTCCCTCACACTGTTCTCATGCTACTGAATAAGTCTCATGAGATCTGATGTTTTTATAAGGGGTTTCCCCATTCACTTGGCTCTCATTCTCTCTTGCCTGCTGCCATGTAAGACGTGCCTTTCACCTTCTGCCATGAGTGTGAGGCCTCCCCAGCCACGTGGAACTGTGAGTCCATTAAACCTCTTTTTCTTTATAAATTACCCTGTCTCGGGTATGTCTTTATCAGCAGCAAGGTAATGAACTAATACAAAGCAATTGGTTAGAATATTCCCACATTGAGAGGCGCCATTCCATAGGTGCCACTTTGGATGGAGAAGGAAGTTGGTACAGGGCCAAGGTCCCTTCTCAGAGGCTGCAGTGAAGAGTGAGTGAGGAAGGGGGGAGTTTCAGGAGGGCCCTGGCTTGCTCTTGGTGTTGCCATCACTCTTGTTCCTGTGATCCAGAGATCTTCAAAAGACAGAATTATCACCTCTAAAGAGCACCATAAATGGTAGGAGGAGACTGATTATAAAATATACATAATCCTCATGAATTCTGCTGAAGTATTTTTCTAGTGGCAGTGAGAAATTATCCTAAAAACGTGATGACATCACATCTCATTCTATTTCATGGCTACAATTTTGAAATGCCATAGCAGTGTATTTTTCTGGCATTAGGGATAAAAATTAATATTTTGAAAATATATTTGAAACTGCAAAGAACAGCAAAATATCCTGTGATTATATGCAAAATTAAAATTAGGGAGAAATGGTTAGGTGTGTTGAGCAGAGTAACAAAAAAGAAACCGTGCCATTGTATACCAGGTAACATTGTATATTTTCTCATTTCCTAAACGGTGTTCTAAGGAAAAATAAGAGATACAGCTCAAAATAAACTGTTTTGTGCCCAGATAAGCTCTGGAAAAGGTTAGCTGAAGTGAAACAGGTGTGTTGACAACAGAATATCTCAGCACTTTTAGTGTGCTTGTATGCGTTGTATTCTTAGTAGATCTCTACTATGAGGTATTTTTCAAGTCTATTGACCATCAAAGCCCATATTCAAATGCAGAACTTTCAAACTCTCCCTGAGAAGTATTTAATGGAACACAATTTGGGAAACATTGATTCATTTTAATTGTTGGGAAATTTAAATAAATTCACATATTTAGAAAGTTAACTTTGCAATACTCTTAAAGGATACAACAATTTTGGTTTGAAGTGTACCAGGGACCTCTTCTCTTCTTTAAATTTAAGGTTATTAATTCCAGGAGCTACCACTCGTTTTCACCCTGGGTAATTTGCAAGTTCTTTCTGGGTAAAGTGTTTTGAATAAGTTGAATTGCTTCAGATTGTTATTAATTAATTAATTAATTTTGGGACAGGGTCTCACTCTGTCACCCAGGCTGGAGTGCAGTGGCACAATCATGGCTCACTGCAGCCTCGAGCTCCTGGGCTCAAGCAGTCCTCCATCCTCAGGCCCCTGCATAGCTTGGACTGCAGGTATGTGACACCATGACCAGCTATTTTTTGTATTTTTAGAAAAGATGGGATTTTGCCATGTTGCCCAGGCTGGACTGGAACTCCTGGACTCAAGTCATCTACCTGCCTTGGCCTCACAAAGTGCTGGTACTACAGGCATGAGCCACCGCGCCCAGCCTGCTTCAGATTTTTAAATCACGATTTTGCCGTTGTTGTTTCCCCAGATGGGTTTAGAAAGAGTGAAACTATGCACATCATATGAAATTTTCAATGCCAGAAGAAGCAATTCAACAAAATTGTTGCCATAAAATTTGTACTGGAGCAAGATAGAACACCTGTTTAGTTATCAATTAATACCTTTTCATTATGTTTTGCCTGGCTTTCTGTCTCCTTTGCCTGGCTTTCTGTGCAATGATACCTGGGCTAGGGTTATTTATGATTTGTAGCAAGGACGGCAATTAAGATTTATGCTTGTGGGGAAATGCTTGGCATCTCTGCTCTGTGAGAATAACACAAGGTAGTGATCTTTCTAATCCTGCAGTGTGGAAGGGATGAACTTCTGTGAGAAAAGGAAAGATGACTCAGGAAGGGGAGAGCATTGTTAGGACTGAATTGTTGGGGAAGATGGTAAAAAAGATGTTGGGAAATATCAACTGGAGGAGAGGTAAGTGGATAAAATAGAAACCCTTATTAGAATTAGGAGCTAATGGGAGGCCAGCATTTGCTTTGACAGAGGACAGGCAGGCCTTGCCTGGGAAAGTCTAGCTCCAGGATGGGCAGATGGTGGTGAGACTATCACGGCTGCCTCAAGCTCTGGTTAGATTCTTATTACTCAGTGCTCTTATATCAAGATGATTCTGGTGACAGTCCAACAAAGAGGTCACAGTTCACGTGGGATTAATTTAAAAGAGGCCACAATCCTGCCTCATAGGGAGACGGACTATTTCTTAGGTTCACAGGATACCTTTCTTGACAACCAAACACCTTTAAAACAAGCACGGGGCTTGGGACATAGTCCACACGAACATCTCGAGGATTCTGGGCTGAGAAACAGCATATTTAAATCTCTCATCAAAAATGAAATTCAGAAAGCCCAGCGAGACAATATCCACTCTTTACTGTAGAAAGAAAAAAATGCCCACATTTCTGGGAGGAAATTGCAGACCATCTGCTGCCCTGACGGCCACTCGGTGTACATTTCTCCCCTCCATCTCGGACACTGCACCCAGCCGTTGTGGACCTGAACTTGTGTCCTACCTTTGGTTTGCCCCTTCAGCAAACTGAGCAAACTAGAGAAATAAGGCAAACCAAGGAACAGCCCTAGATGTCTGTAAAGAGCCCAGCACGGGCTGCCCATGACCCTGGGGCTGGCAAGGCCCCATCCCCTCCATCAGAGTAGAAGCGGCTTCCAGCTTCCGGTGGGAACATATGTGCTTATACGACTTTATGTGTGGGGCTGTGTGATTCTGCCAAAGTGCTTGAATTTGGCACTTCTCCTGTGTCTGATTCCATCCCCTCCCCTCCCCCAATAAAAATGCACTTCCATAGGCTCTGCCTCTAATCTGCATAATAAGATTCAGTTTTACATGAACCATGTCCACGACCTCAGGGCCAGGCATCAGGGTGGCCGTCACCTAATCATGTTTCCCTAAGTGTGTTTCATGGGAGGTGAATATCCAAGGTCTTAAAAAGATGAGACCTATGCAAGGTCCAGTCAGCTTTGAAATGCACTGGCTTAGAGTTAACAGCAGTTTTGCTGCAGGACTTCTCAGGGCTTTTGATATGTTCATTGCAAACCCTCTAAAGAGTGAGAGTGCTTGCAGAATTTCTCCAAGTACATTTCACCCTAGAACCTTCTCTTCAGAGCAGCTTTGTCCCACAAAATATAACATGAGACATAAATGTGAACTGCATATGTGGTTTCAGATTTTCAAAAAGTCATATAAAAATGTAAAAAGAAACAGGTGAAATTAGTTTTCAATTTTTTTTTTTTTTTTTTTGGGATGGAGACTCACCGTGTCGTCCAGGCTGGAGTACAGTGGCGCGATCTCGGCTCACTGCAACCTCTGCCTCCCGGGTTCAAGCGATTCTCCTGCCTCAGCCTCCCGGGTAGCTGGGACTACAGGTGCACGCCTCCACCCACAGCTAATTTTTGTAATTTTAGTAGAGACTGGGTTTTACCATGCTGGCCAGGATGGGCTCAATCTCTTGACTTCATGATTTGCCTGCCTTGGCCTCACAAAGTGTTGGGATTACAGGTGCGAGCCACTGTGCCCGGCCTAGTTTTCAATTTTAATAATACTGTTAGGTAACACAGCGTATCAAAACTATTATCATTTCCACATGTAATTCATATGAAATATCAATGAGACAATTGATACCCTTTGATGTGACACCATGTCTTTGAAAAAGGGTATGTATTTTATGGCACCCTCAATTCAGACCAGCCATACTTTGACTGCCCAACACTGTGTGTGGCCAGGGCTACCCTACTGGATGGTGCAGATCCAGCATGTCTCAGGAGACTATTATTTCACAAAGTTGGTGTCATTTGAGATGCACAGGTAAGCACTCTTTCCTAAGGTTGGCTAATGTAATGTTGACTCATTAGTAAATATTTAGTAAGTGCCAACTGTGTGCAGGACAGTTTTCTAGGTGCTATGCAAATAGCTCTGAACCACACACTATGCCCTTGCCCTCATGGGACTTCAGTGAAGCATATACTAAATCACACAACTAATTATTTGATAATTCTGGATGCTAAGACAGGGAAGCTTGACTGCACCCATGGGTCAGTGGAGGTTGCCCCTACTAAGTGACATTTAAACAGAGACTTGGAAGATAGCTTGGCTTTAGCTAAACAGTGTGCAAAGAGAGGAACATGAGGTGGGACAACCACCATAGTTAGAGAAATAAAGGATCAGTGGATTTGAAATACACAGAGCAGGACTCAGAGAGCACATTGTGAGATGAGTCTGGTCAGCAGGAACATACAGGCTGTTTGGGGTGAGTGCTGGATTCTATCTGAAAAGCAATGGGAAGCCTTGGAAGGTTGTACGCTTAGAGGGTGACATGATCCAACACGATTTTATAGAAATTAAATATGTCTTCAAGTTCTTTGCTGCTCTGCTCATTGAGATTTATAATTTAATTCCCCTCTCTCTTTGAATTCTGACTGGTCCTACTGACTTGCTTGACCAAGAGAATCTGGTGGATGTGAGGTCCTGAGATCTCCAAGTTCGGGTCCTTAGAAGCCTTGCAGTCCACCCCAGTCTTTGGGAGAACATTCTCTTGAAGCCCTGAAGTGTGACTACCCAGAAAGCACCATGCTAGAGATAGCATGTGGATGGGACACTTGGCAATGAGCTGAAGAGAAGCAAATATCAGCTCATGAATGACAATGACCTCTACAAATCCCCAAGTCAGATTTGCCGCGAGGAGAAAGAGATTTCTGTCTACTGGCCATTGGTGTCTACCCAGCAGAGGTCCTAGGCATCCTGGAGCAGACGGGAGTTGCTCCACTGAGTCCTGTCCAAATCTCATGTTTACAAACATAGCCAATGGCAGTTTTAAGGGGATGTTTGTTATACAGCATGAGGATGTCTGTTATATGTTATCAAAGGGTTTTGATAATCCCTCTGGCTGAAGTGTGGAGATGGACAAACTGCAAGGGAAGAAGGACATGTGTGGACAATAGTAACTGAACCAGAATGTGGCAGGAATATGGAAGGCAGTGGCTGAGTGAAGACACACTGAGAGGTCACCCTGAAAACCCTCCCTGTCTTGGTAGGGAGGGGAGATTGTTGTTTTCTCCATTTCTGTTTTCTCCTCCTTCATTTTTTCTTTCCAGGTTCAAGAATTAAGACAGGAATCTTTAATCCTTGTCCCTTTACTGTCTTTCCCATATGTTTTCAAGTTGGCTCAAGAGTATTGGTGGCCACTTGACCAAGAGAGTAACAGATAGATGGCTGTGACAGATGGTGTGTAGTATGTGATGACGAAAATCTCTATTGATTCAGCCTCAGAAAGAATATTTGGGTTTATCTGAAAACTGCACATCATGGTCAAGTGGCTTAAAAATAAAATTAAGTTAGATAAAGATTAAAACATATACTCTCACCTCATTGTAGCTAATTAAAAGTCACTAAAATGTTTTAAATAGGAACAAACATTATTAATGGCAAATAGGGAAAAGTGTTCCCAAAAACCTAACTGACATTCCATTGGGTACATTTGTCTATGGTTTGTGCACCAAAGCAAAGCCACATCCCAGCACCACTTTGGAAAATACATATGGAATGCTGTTTCACTGGTTCATTTAACAGTGATATTTTCATTTGTGTTTATCTATAGTGGTTTTATATTCCTAATTCTTAAAAAAAAGATTTTTTAAAAATTGTAACATCTAAGGCAAAATTAAACAAGAGATTTCTCAGAAGTCTCTAAGAAAACCTTCTGTCCTGTGCCTCATTAATTCATCAATATAATGCAAATTAATTGCCACTGCATTAAAAAAAAATTGTTAGAATAGAGATCCGGATGTAAAAGTTGCCCTAGCATGCCGCACTGCTGAGACGAGCTATTACAGCCCACTTTTCCACTTCACTTTAGGGGGATCTGTAGCTACTAGTTCTTCTTTAGGAAGTAAAATTGGCTGCACCTGGGCATATTATTAGCTGCTCACCACAGGGAATCTCATGCTGATGGGCTATAATTTAGCAGAGAAGGAAAAAAAAAAAAGGCAATCCAATTAAAATGAAGCACATCACTTGGTGCCCATTTGCTGATTGCTTGTCAGAATCTATTATCTTGTATTTAACAAATATGGGATAATTAGAAAAGGAATGAGTATGAGACAATCAAAATTTGGGGAGCAAATCGTTATCCTTGCACAAAAGAAAAACTCTGAGTCCTCCTAATCCATCCTATCAAAGGAAAAAAGCACACCCATATATTCCCCTGTGAGATGCACAGATAATTTGAGAAGACTCCTGTCAACCAGTCCCACCCCAGTCCCAATCCTGGCACTGCCCCCGGGGGCCCAGCCTAAGGTGGCCTGTCCTGCTGAGTGCAGCCCCAGGCCTCAGTCATGAGGCCATGGAAGTCAGATGCAGTCATGGAAGTCATGGAAGAGAGATGCAGGCTGTAGACCACCCTAAGGGTTTTTTAGAGTCAAGAAATTTTTGTTTTGTTTTCCTTTTCATGTACTTGGTAAATTTAAACAGGCTGACATCCTGATTTAAAACAAACAAACAAAAAATACCAGTAAGGTTTTGTTTAAAGGGTTTCTGGCTACTCCTTAACAATCAAGGTTGTTTTAATTATAATGAAAAGCTACTTACAAACACCAAACTGTTGAGATTTTTTAAAAATTAGAAATCATTAAGATTGGCAAGTTCATGGGAAAAAAGACCTACTGTGTGAAATTTGGAACAACTTTTATGGAGGATAACTGGCCATGAGTTTCAATTGTTTGAAAAATGTGCTCACTCTTTGGTTCAGAAATTCTACCACCAAGATATAGTCTGGAGGTAAAATTATATATGCACATAGATTTGATTAAACATGTTAATCACAGCCTGACATGTGACTGCAAATAAATGGTAACAGTTGTATGTCCAGTAACGGAAGTGCTGACTATCGTATGAGATGAGATGGAATACCATGCGGCCATTCTACATTCTTCCATGATGCAGAAGAATATTGCAGGTCGATGTGGTATCAATGAAACAGGCACATGTTTCAGAAGAACATCAACAGGATTACATGATATACATTATGTATAAATTGCTGCATAAATTATGACTACCTGTGCATGCATCTCTATATACACACACTTATGCCACATGTATAAATATATATTTATGTTTTTATTATATATTTTATATACATTATGTATATATGTATGCATGTGCACACACACACACGTTTTAAAAGTAGATGGGGGCCAGGCGTAGTGGCTCACGCCTGTAATCCCAACACTTTGGGAGGCCGAGGCGGGCAGATCACCTAAGGTCAGAAGTTTGAGACCAGCCTGACCAACATGGCGAAACCCCATCTCTACTAAAAATACAAAAATTAGCCAGGCATGGTGGCACACACCTGTAAACCCAGGAGAATGCCTTGAACCAGGAGGTGGAGGTTGCAGTGAGCCAAGATCATGCCATTGCACTCCAGTCTGGGCGACAGAGAGAGACTCTGTCTCAAAAAAAAAAAAAAAAAAGAAAAGAAAAGAAAATTGATGGGAATATTATATACCAAAATGTTAACAGCAATTTTCTCTAAATGATGAATCTATGAATAATTTTTATCAGCTTTATTTTTTTTTAAAGTTCTGCTTTACTATTAAAATCTGAAAAGAAAAAAAGAGCACTTTAAGAGTGATCTCTTCATTATCTTCAATGGCTCTGAAAAACAAAAAACGTGGTGGGTAAGAAAGTCAGACAACATGGCTAAATATTCCCCAACAAATTCGTACCCTTTCTTTCCGAGATCTTTCATTATTTTGAGTGGTGATATTGCTTCCTAAGAGATTATGACACATCTTACATGCATGAGCTGCATTCATTTCAAACCTAAGAAAAGCAGGGTACCTCAGACCACAGCTAAGCTGGATGTATTAAGTGGCCTGGGATGTGTAATAACATGCAGACAGATGGAGCTAAAGTCTTTCCTGGGCAGAGAGCTCTATATCAACAAACGTCAAAAATGTGATATGGGCAGTCTTTGCCTGTGTCCTGGGTCTTCGGCTCTATTAAAAAAAGAAAAAATATTTTAAATGCATATCATTAAAGGCCACGGGCAGATAATGTGCTTCCCTAGAACACCAGCCCAAGGACTCATGTGTGGCTGTCATGAAGTCTTCAAGAAAGCTCCCTTTCTGATAGAAATGATAACGTTTTGAAATCAAATCAAACACACACACACACACATGCATACAAGATCCATGCAAACAACACAAGAGGCCTCGGTTATTATTTTTGAATTACCTTGTGTATGAGTCAGCTCCTGTTCTTGGTTGGAAGCAGAAATAACTGAACTTGTCTGACTTTAGCAGAAAGGGCTTCACTGAAAGGTTACTGAAGAAAGCACAGAATGACTGGGAAGTTTTTGACAACTGCAGTGTGCAGGAAAGAGCTAGCTGCCTGACAGTGCCAGAGTCTCACATCTCTTCAGGAAGGCCTAACTGACCCTTGGCCAGCTCCTGAAAACTTGGCCCTGCAATATTCCCTGCGCTGCTAATTAATAAGGTTGTTTTGTACACCCGGGGTCCTGACACATGCTGCCCAAGCTTATCTAGTTGGTTCGTACCAAGTCAATAGCATGATTTACGGTGGTCACGTTTCCTCCTGGAAATAGGTGCCTGTGTGACCAGCTCCTGATAAAAGCTCTAGCCTCTGAGACCCAAGCTGCCCTCCCTGGGCTTAGACACTTGGCTTACATCACTGAAGTTCATTGCTGGAGGAGTGAGTGTGTCTTGCGCAAATCCACAGGAAGACTTTGGAGGCCACTGCTGGGTCTCCTCTAGACACTGCCTGGTGCATTTGTTTTCCTTGCTGATGCCACTGCGTGTTTTTTCACTGTAATGAACCATAGTCCTGAGTCTCCCTGAGCCCTGTGAGCCCTTCTAGTGAGTCACGGAACTTAAGAATGGTTATTGGCCGGGCGCGGTGGCTCACGCCTGTAATCCCAGCACTTTGGGAGGCCGAGGCGAGCGGATCACGAGGTCAGGAGATCGAGACAATCCCGGCTAAAACGGTGAAACACCGACTCTACTAAAAATACAAAAAATTAGCCGGGCGTAGTGGCGGGCGCCTGTAGTCCCAGCTACTTGGGAGGCTGAGGCAGGAGAGTGGCGTGAACCCGGGAGGCGGAGCTTGCAGTGAGCCGAGATCCCGCCACTGCACTCCAGCCTGGGCGACAGAGCAAGACTCCGTCTCAAAAAAAAAAAAAAAAAGAATGGTTATGAGACACCAGAAATAGACTCTAAGACAGCCAGGCAGAAGCCAACACCCAGAACAAAGGCCAGGCACAGAACCAGTCTTTTTTTTTTTTTTTTTTTTTTAAGACGGAGTCTTGCTCAGTTGCCCAGGCTGGAGTGCAGTGGTGCAATCTCGGCTCACTGCAAGCTCCCCCTCCCAGGTTCACGCCATTCTCCTGCCTCAGCCTCCTGAGTAGCTGGGACTACAGGCGCCCGCCACCACGCTCGGCTAATTTTTTTGTATTTTTAGTAGAGACGGGGTTTCACCATGTTAGCCAGGATGGTCTCGATCTCCTGACCTCGTGATCCACCCGCCTCGGCCTCCCGAAGTGCTGGGATTACAGGCGTGAGCCACCGCGCCCGGCCCAGAATGAGTCTTGAGTAAATGTTGCTGCTGCCATCACAGAACACCAGAGGCCACAATCTACCCCCTCCCAGCTCCTTCTAGGACCCGAGCAGGACACTGGAGATCCACTGGCTCCCAGGTACTGTAACTGAGACTAGGGTTTCTCAAGCTTGGCGCTGTAGACATTTGGAGTCAGACAATTGTTTTTCGTGGGAACATTCTATGCATCATAGTATGCGTAAGCAGCACCCCTGGTCCTTGCACACTAAATGCCAGCAGCTCCCTCCCAGTCGTTATGGTTGAAACTGTCTGCTGACATTGCCATATGACTTCTGGGGTCAAACTTGTGCTCAGTTGAGGAGCACTGACTTAGAAGAAGCTAGGTCAGGTGTCCATAGAGTAGCTACAAGCACATCTAGAAATAGAGACTCTGCTGACTCAGATTCTGCAACTTCTTCCTTCCCACCAAAATTCCTACTGCAGAGCAATGCCAGACAGAGGACGGGTGTTCCAACGCGAAGCAGGCAAAACACCGGCACCCACCCACTTTGCAACACACTTGGGGCTTTTGTCAATATGGCTGCCTGGGTGAAGGTGAAGCCTCACGAACCATAGGAATTGTCAGGTCTGCTTTCTAAGGAGAACTTTATTCACTGACATTCTGGCTCCTGAATTAAGAGCTGTGCGGGACTGATTAAAAAGGTGTCATTGTATTAAGAAATGAAAGCCTCGTGTTTCAATAAGCATCTCTGATAAGAAGAAAATTGCTAGTTAGTACACATGAAATCAACAGGCTGCTTGATGCCTATCGAAATGTGTGCTCCGTTTTCAGAAAATCCAAACGAAGAAGGAATAAATACATTTTAAAATGTTACTGGGTAAAATCCACTGATGAGCTCTCCGTGGTCTTTGCCTTTATGGAACTTCCACATGACATCCTCTAAAGGGGGAGGGCAGGAGGGGTGCTTGTTGCCGTGGCAGCAGGTGCGGTGTGGGGAATGGTCTCTAGCGCTGCATGGCAGCGCTGTCCTCACAGCAGCTGCCACCCTGCTTTCACCCTGATGGCCTGGGAGGCGGAGTTTCATGAGAGAGAAGCATGAATCTGCATCCAGAACATCTGGGTTTATTAGGCCTAGGATTTTTCTGCACATTTGTGCTTTGTCAAATAATATAATAAGTTCCTAAAAGTCAGAGGGTAGATATAAATTAATTGAAACAGGAGAGCACAACCCAAAACATGCTTTTACAGAGAACTCTGAGAAAAAAAAAAAAGTGGAGAAACAAAAGAGGCTCTCCAAGCTTCCAGACTGTGAGCTAGCGCAGAGACAATGATCAGAGAGATTGACTGGGAGAATGGAGAGGTGGCAGCTGGTCAGTTTGCTGCATCGCCGCCCCCCAGTCCTCATTCCTCCTTCTTATAGCAATCACAGGGCACTTGGCTGCAGAACTCAGGCAGGAGCAGCGCCTGGAGGTGGAAGGGACAACATGGCAGAAACTCAAGTGTCTACCAAGACCCAGGAAGAAGGGGAGAGACTTTGCAGCTCCTGGCATGACAGGCCTCGCAATCTGTCCTGCCTCTACCTCAGAATTACTCGAAATAGGCTGAAGCAAGCAGTATGCCACTTAAACCCACCGGGTAAAAGGAAAGCTCAAATATAAAGATAAGCAATTTTAAAAAAAACAAAAGCAACACCATTAAAGTGAGGCATACACATTTAAAAAAAGTAGAGTAAATAGCATCTCATGAAGTGGGGTTAATATAACAAAAGGAAGTAAACTTTAAGTGAAGTATAGCATTCTGAGATGAATGTCAGAGGATCCTTCTCCCATGAAACTATACCAGATTTATTATAATATGTGATATTTCTAAAATAAGAATAAAATATACACATTTAATAATATTTATAAAACAATTATTGTTGACTTAATTGGAATATTTTTGATGATTACATTATTTTGAATTTAATTACTAAGGAACATTCCTCCAGCTAGACAGATTCAAAAAGATTAATATGTTGGGGTAATAGTTTTTCAACAAAATATAATTTACCTATTGTTACGCAGTTCATATTTCTCCATTTTGTTCACAAGCATGAAATAAAATATATCTATTCAACTATTCTAATATAAAATTAAGTTAATTCATGAAAAAGAAAGGAAATGGGTCCCTTTACATTATTCATTCTTAGTGAATCCACTCTGGCTTGAGTTGATTACTGCTTTAATATCTATGTATTAAGGTACTACAAAATAATCTGTTCTAGGAGTTTGTTTCGCCATTGCATCCACAGGCATTGTAAATACGCCGATCGATACTTTCTAGACTTAATGAATTCATATTTTTGGAAAGATAGAATTTGAATTGGAAAGCTTTTGAAAGAGAGCCCAGTCAAAAGATTTGAACAGACACTTGAACAGAGAAGATTTTAAGCATGTAAAGAAAAAAAAAAAAGCTCAACATATTAGTAATTAAGGTAATATCATTTAAACCGTATGAGATAACACTATGAAATCTAGTAGAATGGCAAGAAAGGAGGAAAGGAAGAAAAAAGGAAAAAGAGAAAAAGAAGGAAAAGAAAAAGAAAGAGAGAGAGAAAGAGAGAGAAAAAAGAAAAAGAAAGAAAGAGAGAGAGAAAGAGAGAGAAAAAAGAAAAAGAAAGAAAGAGAGAAAGAGAAAAAAGAAAGAGAGAGAAAGAGAGAGAAAAAAGAAAAAGAAAGAAAGAGAGAGAGAAAGAGAGAGAAAAAAGAAAAAGAAAGAAAGAGAGAGAGAAAGAGAGAGAAAAAAGAAAAAGAAAGAAAGAGAGAAAGAGAGAGAAAAAAGAAAAAGAAAGAAAGAGAGAGAAAGAGAGAGAAAAAAGAAAAAGAAAGAAAGAGAGAAAGAGAGAGAAAAAAGAAAAAGAAAGAGAGAGAGAAAGAGAGAGAAAAAAGAAAAAGAAAGAAAGAGAAAGAGAGAGAAAAAAGAAAAAGAAAGAAAGAAAGAAAGAGAAAGAAAGAAAGAAAGGAGGGAGGGAGGGAGAGAAGAGGGAGGGGGAAGGGAGGGAAAGGAAAGGAAAAGAAAGGAAGGAAGGAAAAAGGGAAGGGAAGGGAGAGAGAGGGAGGGAGGGGAGGAAGGCAAGCAGGCAGGCAGGCAGGCAGGCAATACCAAATAATGGTGAGAATATAATGGAAAAAAAGAAAAGAAAAAAGAAGATTGAGTAAGGGAGGGAGGCAGGCAATACCAAATGATGGTGAGAATATGATGGAACAACTGGAACTCTCATATACTGCTAGTGAGAATTCCAAATAGATTAGCTATTTTGGAAAACAGTTTGACAGCTTTTTATAGAATTAAACACGTATTTATCATCCAATTCAGAAACACTACACTGTGTTCATATAAAAAATCTGTAAATGAACGTTTCTACTGGTTGTATTCATGATGTCCCATCACTAAAAACAACCCAACAACCTCCCTTTCAGTAGGTGAGACAATAAACCGGGTTCCATTTATACAAGGGAATACGACTCAGCGTGCACTGATGCGTGTGACGACATTGATGGATCTCAGATGCATTATAAGTGAAAGAAGCCAGACTCAAAAGTTTGCATTTCTAGGATTCCATTGATATGACATTCTAGAAAAAGCAAAATATAGAGACAGAAATCACAACAGTGGTTACTAAAGTTGGGAGACCAGGGATAAAAATGACAAAAAAGGGGCACCAGGAAAGTTTGGGTGTCCCACAGAAACATTATCTGATTGTAGTGTGACTCTAAGCATATGTTCAAAAGAAGAAATACACATTAAAAATAAATTTTATTACATGTAAATTATATCTTTATAACTACAAAAAAACAAACAAAAAAACTACCGTGGGATAAGTGGAGCCCGAGATTTGAGATGAGCTCATAAAGAGTGATTTGGGGTGCTCTCCTCATACCAGGCATTCTCGTGAACTCCTCTCCACATTGTGTCTTTGGGTTTCATGACTACTATCACATGAGGTGAGATTTCATTCTGAGGCAAACAGCAAGAAAACGGACATTTTAGGAAAGTATAAATTCCCAGTGACCTGACTGGAGAGGCTTGAGGATCACTGGTTCAAAGCTCCAGTGTACAAAGCAATGCTGACTGGATGCCCTTTGCAGCCAGGCCAGGCCATGGCTGCTAAGCACCCTCTGACTTCTGCTTGGGGACCAGATGGGATGGCACCCAGAGAAGAGTGCTGTTTGCCAAAGTCATATAGTGCTTTCAGGACATGGTTCCACCAGACCCAGGTGTCCCCGTTCCTCTCTTAGGGAGCCACCCATTCATCTATATCTCAATTTTGCACCAAGGGGAGTTCGTAAATTTATTTAGAGGCCATGTACAGAGATGGCCCCAAATGGCAAATCCAATTGAGCTGTTAAGAATTGCTGTTTTTGAGAGTCCAATGTACAAAGGGATGGATCAAGATGAAAATGTGAACTGGCACTGAATGAGGTCATGGAAAAGAAAGAAAGAAAGAGAGAGAGAGAAGGGAGGGAGGGAGGGGGGAGGGGAAGGAAAGGAAGGAAGAAAAAAGAAAGGAAGGAAGGAAAGAAAGGAGGGAGGGGAAAAAAGAGAGAGAGAGAATAAAAGATAAAATTCAAAGTAGGAAAACCACTTTTTACATCAACTACCACCACGATGACAAAATTTCTAGAAAAGACAAAAGACTTTTAAATACTCAGTTGATGCATTGCTATTTTAGGTCATGTTTCCTTTTCACTTACCAGAATATTACTGGAAGCCCACAATTATCACCTGCCTCCTATTTTCTTACCCCTTGACCTTCACCTGACCCCTGAAGTCAACGTACTTTCCTGACTTTAAAGACAAAAAGAAAAGGATTTGAGTGTCCGCCCCACTGTTGGAGGTGTACAAAAAAAGGTGTGCTTCAATGGGAAGCGCCACAATTTCTAGACTCTAGAGGTTATCACATTCTAAGTTTTCATTGTCTTTGAGCTATTTTACAAACCTATAGTCTGTAGGTAACTAATGAACACCATAAATTCCACCTGTCATAGGGGTTTAATTGGTTTCCCTCCCCACCGACACCATTCCCATGGAAAAACCAGTTTTGACTCCATTTGCATATTCATTTCACTATTACTGACAAATAAATGTTGGTTTTGATCCCCATTTCAACTGTTTATAATGTTTTCCTAGCTCCCTCACTGAATGAGGTAAATAAAATCTTTAATGCATGTTCATTTGTACATCTGCAGGAGGTATAGCCTGCCCGAATACCAGCACGAGGGGTCTAGTTGGAAAGCTGGATTGGACAGCTCCTCTGTGCAGCCCACACTTGACCACAGTCAGCACTTTTGGCCTGAGACCAAAAGTGGAGCAAACTCAGCTCTGTCTTCCCAGTCGTGCTTTCCACTGAGCTGGCTCCGAGTCTGCCCCCAGGAAATACCTGTTTAGAGTTAAAAGCACTTAACACTGATTTGTATGTACATGATACAAAAAAAAAAAAAATCAGCATTAAAGGTTATAATGTGCTCATTCTTTGTCATATAATTGGACCTAATAAACAAACATCACATTAGTTACCTAGTAAATTTCAACTTATTACTAAATTAGTAGCTATCCTCACATACATCAAATATTGTCAACACTTTCCTGGAAGCTGCCGCTACCCACAAATTGAGCCAATTAAATAATTAATTGAAGTAAAATGACTCCTGTCCAGCAGAATGGATGTGAGATGTGTTTACTCGTTCAATCAAATCCTTCCTTTTCCAGAATGCATCATTTTCAAAGAAGGAGATCTGAAGCGGGGCCCTGGCTGACTCATTGAAGACTGCATAAAATATTTTGAAGCTATTCAGAAAAAAAAAAACACATTAAAAACAACTTTCATACTGGAGGTTAAGAGGCAGAAATCTTTATAGAGCAAAGTTCCTTTGTTTTGTATGCTATTTCCTGAGTGCAGTGAACTTATTAAGCACTTTGATGTAGCAAAAATTGTGATGTGTATATGTACAAATGATCCAAACACAGCAAAAAGCAGCTAAAAAAATCAATAAAGCAGCTTTTTAACAAATGCATTCCAAACTGGATCAAAGAGATAGCCTGGCAGCTACATGCTACTGATCTAACACTCATTACATTTTCATTTCAAGGAAACATCTTTTGCAACAGAAAGGTGAAGTCTATCTGTAATGAGCTTCTTCTAAGGCAGGAGGAAAGCTTCTTTTCAAATAGGAACTAAATAAATATGGGGCCTGTGTGGGTCTCTGCAAACAAATCTGTGCAGAAGGGCTCACCTTTGAAAGAAAGGCCTCTACAAATTCAAAGAGGGAGCTTTTCATTGATTTTTCCATCTTCCTCACTGTCCTTCCCCAGAATAGACTTTCATATGTAAATATGTGGTCAAGAGAAAACACTTGCCTACGGATAGTGGTGTTTTTGTTTTGTTTTGTTCTTTAAGGGATAGTCACTGGGAACTGGATGCTGTAAAAGCTTACCCATATCTGATTTGATAATGATATTCACCATTGATTTTATAGCCCAAGGGAGGGGCCCCTTTCAGAATGTTTCCAGGCACACAAGATTTTTTTCAGTGAGTTCACTCAGAAGGTTGGTTTGTCTTTCAGTCTTCATATGGCGATAAGTCTTGAGGATGGTTTTTTTTGCCCTGTGTTCTGATCATATACACCCATTCCAGGTTATCTTACCCAGGGCTTCCTGCCTAACAGGGACATTCTTGCCTCTCACAGAATGTTGTATCAATCAGATTTTTGTGCCGATTCTCATTTTGCCCCTCAGCCTCTACACATCTCATTTTCCCATTTTACTAACATGCAAACTCATCATTGCCTGTATCACTGGGTTAAAATAAAATAAAACATAACTGACTCTCAATTACCTTCTGGAAATATGACAGAAGGAGGAAATAGATGAAAAAAGCTCAGAGACAGAAAGATCTTTTTTTAAACTTTTTTTTAAGAACTGCCTCATGCAAACATCTACCTAGAATAAAATGTCACCAGCACTGCTGTAAGATCGGATTGAAAAAAGAGTAAGACTTTCCATGTTTTGGCCAGGCCCTTAGAACAGAGGCAGGGATTACCAAAGTAGGAAAACAGAGCAGCCTCATCTCCAAGTGGGGTGAGAGGCACCTGGACAGCCTGACCATGTGAATGATGCTTGGGAGCAGGGTCTCCTGGAATGCAGAACATTCTCCCAAAGAAAAGAAGGAAGGCTGGCAGGACATGAAAGCCAATACCCAGCACTTTTGAGTTCCTAAATAACCTACCAGAAGGGCTAAGAAAATTGTGTATAGAAGTCAGGCCAAAAAAGAAAAAAGAAATATTAGATTAGGAAAGAAGAAACCTTTGTGTGCATACACATCCAAAAGCACATCCACACAAACACACACTCATCACTCCAACCTTCCAAGCACCTGCAAATTGGGAAATATCTCCAATACATTTTGAAAGAAATGAGGTGTAAGTAATTGAATGATAATCTAAATAGCATATTCATACCAGTTATTTTATAACATAAAGAAAATTCTTTGATTATATAAAGTGAGCTTTTATAATCTAAGAGTATATTTATTATGTTAGTTGCTGTGTTGACATAAATAGGTATTATACAAATATATTCTCACCATAAAAAAGGCAAATAGTATATACATTTTGAAGTTAAATAAATGTTTAGTTTAAATCATTATTATTTAGGTGTCCAAATGTGAAAATAATGAACATTTATGAACAATTTCTGAAACAGGAATGAGTAACCTGAAAAAATGAGAGATGTTGATGAAGTTCAATTGATATTCAACTCAAAACAAAATTAATATAAGAGTAAGAAACCACAGAGATATACATGGAGACTAACTGTCCACATTTTCCAAAAGAAAATGAAAGATCTTGGGGAATAAGAGAAAAACATTATACAAAGATGCATTATAATGTATAATACAGTAATACTTAAATTCTCCAGAAACCAGCTATCCGGCACTTTCCTCTATGGAAGAGTCGCTCAACAAAGGCCCACCATCCTGTGTCTAGGAGTCTCCTTTTTCACTCCCTGAGATGAGATTCTATGTTTCTCATCTCTGGCTTCCCTCCTAACAGCTCTCTCAGTGCCTTCTCCAGCCTTTTCTGGAGTGCAAGCCCTCATCCTAAACTTGCTCAGTTAGAATCTCTCTCTACCCTGCACCCACCCCAATCACCCACTCAAGGCGGATCCTGCTGCAGGAGCTGGAAAGCCCCCACCCTGTGGCCTTCTCAAGGATGTCATTACGTCTGTTCTTTTATCTTTCTTGTATCTGCACCACGACAGCTTATTCTCTATTGGATCACTGTACTCACTGGGCAAACATGCTCTACTGTATCTCATCTTTACAAAAAACACATAAACAAATAACAACAACAAAACAAAATTCCCTTTAGCTGGCATTCTCCTTTACTACTGCTCCATTTTCCTCTCAATTTTCCCCACACAATCTTCCTCACCTCTTCCTCCTCTCGGGAAATGGGAAACCCTATTCACCTATGTCTAGCAGGCTCTTTTTGAAATTAAGTACATGTTTATTAATAGTTTAAATCTTTATTATTTAGGTGTCTAAATTTGAAAAAATATGGACTTTACACAATTTCTGATAGATGAATGAGTAACCAGAAAAAAATGAGAGATGTTTATGGAATTCAACAGATACAGAACCCAAAATAAAATTAATATAAGACCGATTCCTGATTTTTAGGAGGGAAGGCAGAGTTGGGAAATGCCAAATCGCATCACAGGGAGTGGACAGAGGAGTGTTGCGCAACCCAGGAATATTCTTGATTTTACCATCTTCCTGCCTCATCCCTGCCCTCAGCCCATGTCAACACACCCATCAGCAGGTCCTACTCCTGCTATCTGAAAATGTATCTCACATCTCTCCACTTACCTCTACTTCCATTTGAGGTCACCATCATCCCTTATGTAGACACCTGAAATAACCCCCATCTGATCTCTCTGCACCCATACTTTCCCCTCTACAACGTACTCCCCATCTCTAGTAGCAAGTGTGATCTTCTTCACCCACCCACTGTGTCAAACCCTATGTTATACTCCTTCTTAGAACTCTTTGGTGACTTTCCATTGAACTTAGAATCAAATCAAAATGCTCTCCATTGCCTCCCAGCCTCTGGTGATCTGAATCATGTCTCTAGTCAACCTCATCTTCTTTTTAGTTTCACTTGGCTCCAGCCATGCTGTCTTTTTGCATTCCTCTTTGACACCACTTATGTGGCTCGTTCTTTCCCATTCTATTGTACATAGAGAGACCTTCCTGCTTCCCTAATCTAAAATAGAATATAAGCTTCTTAAAGGCAGAGGGTTCATTGCTACCAAGTTTTCCATTGTATTTCCAAAGCATCAATCACATAGTGGATGGTAAGTACATATTTGCTGCTAAAATGGCGAAGAATCAGGAGAACAGAAGAAATAAAACTTCTCAATGGGGTCAAAACAAGTAGTACAAAGCGAATGCTATAAAACTTGAAAACTTGATTCATAAGAAAGCATCTTGAGTTTATGGATCTTTTCTTTACGTATCAAGAAAACAACAACTAAAATTAACTGGGAATCTGGTTTCCATATGCTCAGCCTACTAGGAAGGGAGAAAGAGCTCCAGCTGCCCCCTCAAGTAACAGATTCTGACTGAGAGATACACCGACTGAGGACAGAAGCCATATCTACTTCATGAGCTTTGTGTCCCTAACATCTAGTACACTGCCTCTCCATAATAGACAGCCACACGTTAGTTGAATGAATGGACAAATAACTCTAATAACCTGTGGCAAATAGAAGTGAATGCAAAGAACTAGGAGAGGACTGAAAAATTGATAACAGATTTAAGTTGGGAGATCACAGTGATAGCTGAGTGGACCAAATCTTAAAAATTATGTAGCATTAGAACTTGTGGAATAGGCAAGAAAAGCTGTCAACTCTATGAAAACCACAAGGGCAAATCCAACTCCTTCCACCCCCACTATATGAGTAAATATGTTGTGGAAAGCCTTAACAATTCTGTGAGTCTTCTCTAAAATCACTTGGGATTTTAAAAGCTAGTAATTTTCTTTAAATATGCAATTTAAAGACTCAATTACAGCGAGTACATGTTTGGATTCTTCCTTTTCTATATGCAGTCAACCATACTTAAGTCACCTTGAAATACAACAAAAGCAAAACCCTTATTTCTAAGGACAATCCAGTAATAGCGATGACTTTACATATATCTATAAGATGCTGTAATTTAGCCAACACTTGCACTTACTTAAACTCCTTTATCATTCACAGCACATCTGTTAGTAGATATACTATCTCCATGATTCAGACGTGAAAGCTCCGATTTGGAGAAGCACGGGGATTTAAGCATGGTTGCACAGAGAAATCGAACCATTATTTGGATTCAGATTTACTAACTTTAAATCAGCTGTTTCCCACCACCTAAGCATGCCATAACTACTCTTTCCCATTCTTGGACAGAGTTTTTCTGCTGTGTTTTTGTCTTCTCTTCTACCCTGCTGGGAAGGGTAGAAGGAAACTTGAAGACCCCCAAAGTTGTGTGTCCGTGTATGTCAAGAATGATTCAGATGGTACATTTGACCACTTTGTATACCACCTTGTTGTGTATTTAGTGTGGCTCAGTAAATCACACAACCCCAGCACAATGAAACCACAAATAATTTGTGTCTTTTGTCTTTGTAGACAGAAAAGATCATCCATAAAATGAGCAAATATATTGGAAGCCCAACCCTCTTTTCTGATCCATACTTCGATAGCTTAACTGAATTCAGCAGAGTAGCATTATTAGAGAAGAAATGAATCCTAACAGTTGGGATCATGAACCCTGGAGCCAACTTGCCTTTGTGAAAGCCTGGCTCCCCCACTTACCAGATGAGAGAACTTTGACAAATGATTGAACCTCTACAAGCCTCAACTGCACTTCTACAAATTACTGTACCTCTACAGGCCTCTTCTTCTATAAAATGGGGATAACAGTAGGGTTGTCATCAGAATAAACTAAGTTAAAACAGAGGTCAAACCAGCTCACTGTTTGTTTTTGTAAATAAATCCGTATTGGAACACAGCCAAGATCATTTGTTTATGTATTGTCTGTGGCCACTTTTGCACTGCAGTGGCAGAGTTATGTAGTAATAACCTAGATCTCATGGCCCACAAAACCTAAAATATCTAGTGTCTGTTACTCTACAGAAAAAGTTTGTTGACTCTTGAGTTAATAGATGAAAAACATTTAGAATGGTCCATGGTATAAGCACTTGCTATCTATCTATCTATCTATCTATCTATCTATCTATCTATCTATCTATCTATCTATCTTTTCTTGTGTTTTTTGAGACAGGGTCTTGATCTGTCACCCAGGCTAGAGTGCAGTGGTGCGATCTCAGCTCACTGCAACCTCCGCCTCCTGGGGTCAAGTTATCCTCTCAACTCAGCCTACTGAGTAGCTGCAACTACAGGCATGCACCACCATGTAGCTAATTTTTGTAATTTTTTTGGAGAGATGGGGTTTGACATGTTGCCCAGGTTGGTATCAAACTCCTGGCCTCAAGCAATCTGCCGGCCTCGGCCTCCCTGGCCACTGCACCCAGCCCTATATATCTATCTTTTTGTGTGTGTATGTGTGTGTAGTATGTGTGTGTGTGGTGTGTGTGTGTGTGTGTGTGTGTGTGTGTGTGTGTGTGTGTGATATTACTTACTCTATGGCAAGCACTTAGGATGTTTACTCTACTTCTTGTCCTATAAAATAATTTAGTCTCTACTCTTATGCAGAGGCCCAGAGATTGAGAGTCATGGGTCAAACCATTTGGGATTGGACAAGATTATCCTTATACATTTCTTCGAACCCTTTAATTCTAGAAAATTCAAAACCAAATTCAAACAGAAGTAATCAAATTTACTTTGGAAGGGTTTTGAGTCTCATAAAAATGTGCAATTGTGCATTTGTATGTATAGCCTGTATATCCAGTTAAACGATACCCAAACTCCTCAGGGGAAGATTACATATCTATCAACCATTGAAGCCAGAACTGGCCGTGTCACTTGTTTTTGCCAATGAAACAAGAGGAGAAGTGAGGAAGGAGTTTTAAGAGCTAGTTTGAGACTTACTGTGTTCTCTTTTTCTCAGTGCTCCTGATATCCAAAATTCCCCAGATGCAGCATGCTCCCTCAGTGTGGAAGGTCCATGAGTAAGGACCATGAAAGTCACAGCTGAGCCACCAGGGCAAATGGAGTAAGCAAGAAATTAATCAGCCTTTGTTGTTCGAAGGTGCTGAAGGTTGTTAGCCTACCACAACATAGCCTATTCTGATTGATACAGTGATTGTTCAATGTCTGCCCTTTGTCCAGAGTATAAAACTTCCATGAGAAAAGGAGACAAATCATATTTAATATTAATAATCATATTCATATTTACTATTGGAGACCTGGCATCTACTATAGAACCTGACATATACATACAGATTAATAAAAGAAGTTATCTGGTAGCATGTGAATAGTTAATAGAAGAGGTAAATGACAATATAGACAACATAGAGATGTTACAATTACTATTAAGTGCTATAAACAAAGAGGGTGCCCTTTATGACCTAGATTCCCTGGGAGGCAAGGAGTAAATGCTGATGGATGTCTACCATGGAGCCCAACAGGAAGAGGTGTGGTGGCCAGGAAAGCAGAAGTGAAAAGGAAAGAGAAGGGCTGTATAAACAATTAATTAAGCAGGAAAGCACAAAGTATGTCTAATATTAGGGAACGGACACATTTGACAGAAGCAGAGGCAGAGAGTTCATACAGAGGTGAGGTGAGAATAAAATCTACAGGAAATGCATGCATTGTTGGATAAAACCCGAATTTGCAAACATTTTTGTTGCTTTAAATGGTGTATAGTCAACACTTAAAAATGGCTCAAATTGTGGATTTTATGTTATGTATATTTTACCACAACAAAAATCTCTGTCTCCAGGGTTCAAGAGATTCTCGTGCCTCAGCCTTCTGAGTAGCTGGGATTACAGGTGCACGTGACCATGCCCAGCTAGTTTTTGTATTTTTAGTAAAGACAGGGTTTCACCATGTTGGCCAGGCTGGTCTTGAACTCCTGACCTCAAGTGATTCTCCCTCCTCGGCCTCCCAGTGTGCTGGGATTACAGGCGTGAGCCACTGCGCCCAGCCAAAGTAATATATTCTAAAAAAATAAATAAATAAAAGTTCAGTGTTGATCCATCACCCACCTGGATTTAGGGCAGAGAGTTACTGTTCACTGAGCATTCGGCCTTCACTGTACTTGTCAGTGGGGGATATAGGAAAAGTGCATGTAGACCCCATCAGCTTTCCTGGAAGCCTGGACACAAACAAAAACGCTGGAGAGAGTCTCAGATGAACACGGTAGAGTGTCACCCAAAGGTGGACAGATCATTACAATGTAATTTGATTTTTGAGGGAGTTGGGGGAAGAAAGAATGGGCTCAGAGGCTATGAAACGAAGTCCCCGCTTGAAGAATTCAGGTCAAGGGGCCAAGGAGAGAAAGACTCTGGGGGTTGGAGCATCTGTCATCAATCTGGATAATAAAAGTATTATCATTTTATAAATTAGATAACATCCACTTTCTCCCTGTGCTTTTCAGCAGTTATGGCCATTAAGGACACCATGTTATGTAGCAGAAATTGTGTATGCCAGCAATGAACCTTCTGTGCTTACACATTTTGGCCAAGTCACTTCGTATTATCTTATACGTGGCCTCTCTGCATGGCTCAGTGGCTCCCCTCCTCTGCTCCACCAGCCTGCAGATCAGCTCTGCCACAGTGCAGCTCTATCTGCCCCATGTCATTTGTCTTCTTGTTCCTTATTTGACTCTTGCCAGCAAATCTCACCGCTTGATAATTGAGCCAGCTACTGAACTGCTCTAGCAGCTCAGATTCCTTTCCCTAGCTGTCACCATCAGGTCCAGTCTTTCACTCCCACATCTTGCCTCATTCAACCACTTTTGTTATTTCTTTAAAATAAAATGTGTCTGAATTCTGGGCATGGTTTTGGGTGGGATTCTGGGCTTGCATGGGTGATTCACCGTTTTCCTCCAGCTGACTCAGAGCACCCCTGCAACCCAATAAGACTTCCCAGTATTGGGTCTACTCTTTTGTCCTGTCCCTCAGGCCCCACAGTCATGGAATTGGTGAGAAGGAATTAAGACACTGAAATCAGTCATGGAAACAATCACTCTGTTCACTCCAGCACATTTAGGTGGTGTTCCATGTTTACTGGAATGAATCTGGATGATAGAATCTCAGGACTGGGAGGGCCAAAGAAGTCATCCATTTTATCTCTGTCCCAAAGTAGGAAGTTATACAGCAACACATCTGATCTCTGTGGGGAACCTCACTCCCCATGAGGCTTCCCAGTCATATCAGGAGACATGGGCTTGTGGTGCAGAAGGAAAAATAAAGGGTGATGGCAACAGAGGCCATGGCTTTGACACTATCCTCGCCACCATGGGCAAGTTCTTCAGACTGTCTGCATGTTGGTGCTTTCCTAGTAAAATGTGGGTACAATTCTGACAAAGTCTGCCTCCCTGCGCTACTGCACAGGTTCTGTGAGAAGGTGCATTTGAACAGCACGCGTCCACGCAGTTGAAGAGGGCATCCTTTTACAGCTCTGAGTTTGCAAGGGTAGTGCCCTGGGCATGGGGCCTCCAAAGAGCTATGCTGGCTTCCAAGGCTGCTGACCAGGTCTATGCTGACCCCAGTGCTCAGGGGTTCATGAGCCTGTCAGAAATAGGAGGGCAAAATAATAAATAAAACTACCCCCAAGACAAATCCAGCTATTGTAGCCAACTGATAGAATCTGCCTATACCTGGCTTTATGAATACTTGTCATTCTGTAAATAAAAAAATGAAGAGGTAGAGAAAGTCGTTTACAAGAATAAAAGGAAATTGGGTGGGGGGAGGGTGAGAGGACAGTTGTTTTATATATACATATGCATACACAAATGTATTAAAAGACACACTACTATCACACATATATTGGGGAGTTGTTCTGCTCACATAATAAAGAGCTGTTTTACACACACACTCAGTAACGAGGTAAAACATATAAAGGACACGACAGTTCCTGGGACACAGTATGTGCTCCATAGTAAATGCTGGTTATTATCATTGTTTTCAGTATATCCAACACTGAGCCCAAAATAAAATAACGTGTTTTGCTTATTGGAATAACAAGATCACACGACAGCACTGAAATTGCTTAGTCGGAAAATGCAAGAGGTCTCACTCACTCTTCATCCCTAGGCCGGTGGCTTTCATTCCACGTTGATTGACAAGCACCTGTGCGGTGCTTTTAGAAAGACCACTACACTTAACTGTGCTGCATCCACAGGAAGCCCAGCGCCACTGGAATGGAAAGATGGACGTGACCATGTGCGAATCCCTTCAAGAGGCTGTGGGTTCCCTTTGCACACTATGACACCACCGATACTCCATCACTTTAAGCACCAACACTCAATCATTTCCTTAAGGTTTTCATGGGCATCACTTTTCCTCTTTATTTGTCCTAAGAGAATTTATTCTCAGAGATTTTGTAAAAGAGCATGGCAGGAACTTAATTATCCATTTCCTGGTAATTTTCTACATCCGTTGTTCCATATTGATTTGCTATTTAAAACCCCCTTTAGGTTGTTTACTGATGTCCTCCCAGCCTGTGGTTCTTCCCTATTTAATACATCATCACCAGCGAACACAAATGCTGGGTGACAGTTACTTTCATCGATTCCAACCAATGTGATACTTGGGTTTTGGAAGCAGAGAGTGGCAGTCTGAAACGACTTTTTCTATTGCATCTGGCACATGGTCACGTGAAGGAATGCACACAACGTATAATCAAATGGCGGTGGTCCTGAGAGGAAGGCGGTGACTTCACAAGATCTCACAGCAAGACCCAGTTCCACATCTCTCTGCAAGAGCAGGGACCCACAGCTCAGATAAAACAAGATGGCTATACTCTTCGTTCCCAATATGTCCTAGAAATTGCTGTTCTCAGTAAATAGCATCTTAATAAATCAAATAAACTATTAGTAAAACAAAATATGTACAAATTTAAAAAGAAATATTTGGGACATCCCACATTAAAGAATGTGTTAACTTCAATGTATTCATTTGAAGCCTGTGTATCCACAGCCACGTACAGTACGTGCACATGGCGATTTTTCTATTTTGGCAATAACTGAGTGAGAAGAAAGGAGGGGTTAGCTAGACATTGAGAATAAGATGGCTGCTCAGATGGGCCTCCGTCAGGACTGTAGGCTAAGAACTGTTTGATGGGGATGCATGGAGTCAAAACGCAAATGCCTGGAGTGAATTTTGAGAGCGTGTTCAATGGTGTAAGATGCTTGGATGTGTGTAACTTGGAATGAACCATACACAGAAAACACAAGGTTGTCTTTTCCCAAAGGGAGGCAGTCTCCTATTAGATTGGGAAGCCTCCCAGGGAATGATGCGCCCCAGAGATCCCATGTTGTTGCTGTATAAGGTGGTCTTCTCCCAAAGGGAGGACACAAAGGGTTTACTATTTCTTATTCTCGACCCAGGAACATAGCCTAACAAATAGAAAGAAAGAGAAAGCCTAGCAGCTATTTATTCCTTAGTGGGATATGCTCCTTTATATCCCAATATAAAGGAATCTCAAAGACACAACATATAAGTCTCTTTATTGAAAGACGACTTGATGAACGGTTAATGGAGGAGTAAAAGCACAAGAGTTACATTTAAGAACTTTCAAAACACAGAAAGTTTGAAAACAATAAGAGGAAAGATGTTTCAGGAATGAGATTCAGACCAGCTCTGTGGCTTTTGTTCCTCTTGTTCTGTCCGTAATTTTTGGTGGCAGCGGTTGGCAGTAGGCATAGAGCTGGCATCAGCCTCTGTCTGCACACAGAGGGACTTTGTGACGGAACCGTGTTTCCCCACTCAGCTCTTCACTACCAAGGCTTCTACCAGCATGCAGTGGTACTACACTCCCACTTGTGCACTTACGGTTCTGTTTGCCTACAACACTCTTCCTCCAAAGATTTATCCTTTTCCCTCATCTCTTCACATTTCTATGGGGACCCACAGCTCAGATGCAACACGATGGCCATACTTTTCATTCCCAATATGCCCTAGAAATTCCTGTTCTCTGTAATAGTATCTTAATACATCAAATAAGCTATCAGTAAAACAAAATATGTACAAATCTAAAAAGAAATATTTGGGACATCCCAGGTTAAAGAAATGTGTGAACTTCAGTGTATTCATTTGAAGCCTGTGTATCTACAAGGTTGTCTTCAGCACAGGCACGTGGTGATTTTTCCGTTTTGGTAATAACTGAGCGAGAAGAAAGGGTGTCTTTGCACCCACGTCCACCTCTCAGAAACCTTCACCAACCATCCTGTTTAAAGCATTAAACAGCCTCAACCTACTATCACCCTTCCTTGAGTTATTTTTCTCTACAACACTTTTCATCAAACATAGCATGTTACATGTTTATTTTAGTAGTTGTCTGCCTGCTCCCACTGGAATATAAGTTTCACAAAGATAGGAATTTTGTCTCTCTAAAATTTTCTGTAGTCTTCCAGCCCCTGGAATAGCACCAGGTACAGATGAGTTCTTAGTACTTCTGTGTTAAATGAAAGAATGACGGCATCTGGGAACAGCCTGTAGAGAGGTAGGTCACCATTCAAGGAAGAAGGGACACAGAGAGGGGACAGACAAGGCAGAAGAAAGAAGGGAAATCCCATCGACAGGAGAGAAAGGGGAAAATAAAGAAGAGAAAGCGAAGACACACAGCAGACAGCCTGGAGGGAGGGATGTCAGCAGGAGGGAAAAGGACAGGGCAGCAGTACCAAATGCTGGTGTGCGGGCCAGACACTGGAGACCGCTGGATTTCAAAACTCAGTGCCTGCTAGGGAACTTCAAGAAACACGTGTCAGTAAATGATGCAGCTGCAAATTGCTACCGAGGTAAAGAAAGATTTAGAAAGTAGAGTTAATGAAAATAATCTAGTTAAGAAAGAAAGAGAGAGGGAGGCAGGCAGTCTGGCCAGCCAGCCTTGGCAGCACAGGCCTGGAGAGCAAGCTTGTTACTTTAGCAGTGTATGCCGGTGTGTGCGTGGGCAGGTGTGTGTGCATGTGTGTGCATGTGTGTGTGTCTGATTCGTGACTGTGGATTGAGAATGTGTGGACAGTTATTTCAAGTACACAAGATCTGCACCATGTTTTCTTTTATAAGCAAATGGGAGAAATTAACACTGAATTAAAATGTGGTGTGTATTTTAGTTTCTCTCTGTATTTCAATTCCAGGAAATAAATTATCACAATTTTCACAACTTCAATTCATTTAGAGCCTTTTTAGATAAAAATTTTGTAATCGCTCAGAACTGCACTTCCAAGTCAAAAGAATTAATCTAAATATGTGTTGCTGACTCAAATAGAGAAGAGTAGGAACAAAGTAAACTCCTAAAAATTTTTCTTAAGGCATTTTAAAAAACTAAAACAAATGAAAAGCCCTATAGGACCCAAACACGCAGGCAAAATGAATTCTCTGAAGAGAAAAATGCATTTTGTTCTAATATTCTCTTAATAGATTTTTTTAAAAACGTGATAAGAAGATTGAAAGAAACCTGGGTAACTCGAGATAGATTATGCAAATGCTCATTTCATTTTCCTACTTCTGAGTGAGGCCTGGGCACAGTTTTAAAGCTGCAAGACCCCAGCACTCGCTATCTCTGCTGCCCAGCTGGCGCGCACAACCAAAGGATTATGCATAAGATGCACGTGGTTCACGGAGCCAAGACATTTATGCGGAGCTCAAAGGAATCTGGCATACTGTGGTTCTCGGGGGCTTAGAATGAAGATTTTAAAAATACATTTCCATGATTTTCACCAGCTTATCTCAACCAAGAGGTTAAATATTAGAGAGAGAGGGAGAGAGAGAGAAAGAAAGAGAGGGAAGAAGGAAGGGGGTGGTTCACTGCTTCTGCAGCCAGGAATGGAAATAACTTTGATTCTTAGGTTATATTTGATCATCACCAAGTCCTTTCCTCATCTCCTCTCTTTCCGAAAATGTGAGATTCGTATCAGTGAATCTTCCATACCAAATTTTACTATAACCATTCCTTTTTCCAGGGTAGTCCCTCTAACATAGAAAAATATGCCTTGGCATCACTCAGGCTCAGAGGAAGGAAATGAACATACTATGCTATATTTTCATTGTCTCCACTTCTATATCTATAAATTAAATGACATAACTTGCTAGGAAAAAAAAAATGCCACGCTAGTCTGAGGATTTTGGCCGGGGGTCTCATGACTTTTTTTTTTTTTTTTTCACAACATCTCATTCAACAACCACTCCATAGCTTGAGGATATGCTCCCTCAAAATAAACGCACCTGTCATCAGTGTTCCCGGATCAGAGACAGGCAGCTAATAAAAGGTTCATCAGGAATGGCTGAGAAGCCAGGGATCCAAGCGGAATCAAGCCCAGCTTTGTCATCTCAGCACTATCTCTGTCTGTGGTGAGTTACAGTTCCCTGTATAGACCAAAGACAGGACCCCAAAGAGAGGTAACCCAGAAAATCTACCTTTGCTAGAATGTGAAAATATGAAAAACATAAAGGTTGGGTATTTTTCAAAAATAGAAGGAGGCCCTTCTCATTCATATATATATATATATATATAAATATATAAATATATATATAAATATATATAAATATAAATATATATATAAATATATATAAATATAAATATATATATAAATATATATAAATATAAATATATATATATAAATATAAATATATATATAAATATATATAAATATAAATATATATATATAAATATATATAAATATAAATATATATATAAATATATATAAATATAAATATATATAAAAATATATATAAATATAAATATATATATAAATATATATAAATATAAATATATATATAAATATATATAAATATAAATATATATATAAATATATAAATATAAATATATATATAAATATATACAAATATATATAAATATATATAAATATATAAAAATATATAAATATATATAAATATATAAATATATATAAATATATACATATATACATATATATAAATATATACATATATAAATATATATAAATATATACATATATAAATATATATATAAATATATATAAATATATACATATATAAATATATATAAATATATATCTATATATATATATATAAATTTTTTTCTTTTTCTGTTTTGGAGACAGAGTCTCACTCTGTCAGCCAGGCTGGAGTGCAATGGCATGATGTTGGCTCACTGCAACCTTTGTCTCCCAGGTTCAAGCAATTCTCCTGTCTCAGCCTCTCAAGTAGCTGGGACTACAGGTGCGCACCACCACGCCTGGCTAATTTTTGTAGTTTTACAAAAAACCCCGTAGAGATGGGGTTTCACCATATTGGTCAGGCAGGTCTTGAACTCCTGACCTCAGGTGATCCACCCACCTCGACCTCCCAAAGTGCTGGGATTACAGGCATGAGCCACCATGCCCGGCCCCCATTTTATATTGATAGAATTCTCATTTTAGATCCTATTAAAATGATATCAGCATTTTAGGCAAAAGTAGCTATAGTTCTATGAGAACATCATAGAACTTAGTCTTTCTTAGGTGAATCTCAGAGATAAAATAACATACTGGAAGAAGAAATAAACCACAGCTCTATTTGTCTTAATCTTTGATTTGTAATAAACAGAAACAATCAAGGGAGATTCTTTTTTCTGTATTTGCCCTGCTGTGTACGTCAGGTGTTGACTACCCATGTGTAATCCTAAACTTTCAAATGGAATTTCCCTGGTAACGAGATGGTAACATAACTGCTAACAGACCCCTGCATATCAGTGAACCATGCATAACTTTAACAAATGCAATGCAAAGGGTGGTGGTCTGCATGGATTATTTCTATCAAAAATGAATTTATGCATTCACCATTAGAAGCAGATGCAAGACTATAGCTTAAAAGCAAATTAGAATTCAAGCTGGATTTGCAAACATTCCAGTTTAACATTTGGATAGCAAAGGAACTCAGAGTTTATAAAATTTAAATATAAGATAGACAGTCACAATTCTGTGCAAGCAGTCAGGGTTAATTCAGATCGTTTCCTCTGCTCTTGCATTCCCTGATTTCAAGCACGGCGAGGCTGGGGCTGTAATTACGGAATGGGTAGTACTCACTGTTCACCAGTTGTGTGTAAGCTTTAAACTAATAACTCAGCAATTACGAGAAAAATGAGCGGTAATTACACCCATTTTACTCGCGGCTAGACAGATGGGACATTTTCTCCTCGTTATTGGCAAACTGTCACCACATTTATTTCATTTTTACTGTTTACTATTTGTTGTGCTTTGATTAAGAGTAATTATAGGCTAGGAAAATATGAAAAACATGAATGTTGGGTATTTTTAAAAATAGAAGGAGGCCCTTCTCCCTGTTTTATATTGATAGAATTCTCATTTTAGATCCTATTAAAATGATATCAACATTCTCAAGATATTTCCAGGCAGGCTTCAGTTCTGTGACAGCTTTTCAGCAGGGGATTCCCATGTTTGCTCATTATTTGGGTCGTCATAGACCCATAAATATCCTGCATTTTTTTTTTTTTTACAGCAGCCTCTGTGTCCCTCACACTCGTCCATTTTGGTCCATTTTGGTCCATTTTGTGTCTGATGATAAAGCACAGGAGAAATCCACCCGTCGCTGGGATCCACAGGGGAGTAACGCCAAAACACGGCACCGCTACTGTCTTCGCAGCTTTTAGGATGAGGAGCCTATTTCTCTCCCATCACTGTAAAATAATTTTATGTATGTTGTCCAGTAGAACAATGATGTTGAGAGTTCTTTCTACAATTTGCCTCAGAAGCTTTTTAGTATGTGACATTAGTTTTAAGATCATGTGATACTTAGATACTGACAAAGTATGAGCAGTACTGATAACACCAGTGGGAAAAATAGATTTGAATTTATTTTGTGCGCTCATGTTTGTAGAAAGTACTATTAATATTTAATTGATGTGGGCTAGAAATTTGAACGATTTTGAAAGAAATGTGAATAACAAATCAGTACATATAGAATGAACATACAATGAGCACAAGTTTTAGTTAATATTTAAAATGGTATCTATTTTAGAGTGAGCCTCCATGTGTAAAATAATGTACAATTTGTATGGTTCTTCGTGATGCTTTGTGTATGTGTATGTGTGTGCATGTGTGTGTGTGTGTGTGTGTCATGATTAGCTAGGCTGTGGTTCCAAATTCTAAACCCTTAAAGTTACAGCCCCAGGAGAAATAAAAGCCATCACAATTCACAACTGGCCTGCATTGAAGCATGATTTTGCAAACAAAAATGCTTTTTCCCTCCATAAAAGTCATACTTGAAAATATCTGAGAAGTTATTTTTGGCATCAGTTTTTCTTAATGGGAGGAGAAAAAAACCCATGCCTTGTTCTACACGGGCTCCATATCGATTCATGGAAGTGCCATGTGTTAAGCACCGACTTGCTAATAGTGCTGCCTGTGTGGTGATCTGCTGAGCTAGCGCCATGCACAGAATTGATTAGTTCCCTTAATGAGCTTTAGATTGTGCTTCTACCAGAATAAGGACGCAAAGCAGGGGAAAGTGTGCATCTGGAGAAAACCCACCTCAAAGCAGCTGCAGAGAGGAAAATCAAGAGAAGTGGCAGAGAGGAAAATCAAGAGAAGTGGCAGAAAACTATGGGAAGGTGGGACTTGAGGGGAGACCTGGAGACAAGGCCACCTTTTCTTTTTCAGAAGATGCTGCAGCTTGCTCCATCCCTGACTTTCTCCCCAGCGGAGGGAGAACAGGGCAGGGTGATGTGCAAACCTCAGTCCCCAGCAATGACCATGTGCAGCATGGAAAACTGGGGTCCCCTCTTGTCTCTGCCCTTACCATGTGGGTAACCCTAACACCCCTCCCTGATCCGCAGCTTCCTGTAAACGAGGGGAAGAGACGGAGGATGCAGCCATCTGTGTCTTCATTTGTGTGCAACTGCATTATGAAATTTTAACTAAAAATGTTCCAGAGAAAGCAAACAGTGTAAAGCTATTAAGGAAGGCGGTTTAGCTAATGGATAACCGATGACTGATGTGTGTATAAGTGAGAGATGGGGATGGAGATTCTGGGATGCTGGCGGAGGCTCTGGGAGCGCAGGTAAACAGGCCCAAGAGATGTGGAGAGCAGAGGTTGTCACAGACACATGCCATCTGCATAGGGCTCAATCTGCCGTTAGTAATTTGGATAAGTATCCAAAGTTTACAGAGAAAGGAAGAAGGCAGAAAAGGAACTACAGAATCAAACAGCTCCCCTTTCCTCTCTGCCACACTCACACCCCACACACACAAAAACACCACACGCACACACACACCAGGGGACAATGAGATGTCAGATAAGCCTCAGAACTTCTACGGTGTTTTACACAGTACGTGAAAGCAATTTAGGAAATTATTCCTACTTTCGGAAAGAAATATAAACAGACAACATTATCTAGTCTATTGTGTTCATGTTGAAAGAGAACAACTGCATAAGAGCCCTACTGTTTGTGTAAAAAGAAACTGTCTTCATGTAAAATAACCAAACCTAGTAATACATAGGAGAACGATGCTGCATGGAATTTTACATATGTAACTCAGCGTTTATTTTGCCTCTTGCCTTTAGTAAATATGCAAGGGTTTTTCTAATGAGATAAACAGAGCGCATGGCAGTGTGGATAAGATGCACAGAGCAAGCTGCTCTAGAATGTTGGTGGCCCCATGGGTGTGGTCTGGGTGGTGGACGTTTAAATCTACCTCACGGAAGCAGCTAGATGAGTGTTATACAAGGAAACGGGGCGAGAGAAAACAGACATGAGCTGGTTTCCACTAATTGTAGGAAAAGGTATCTTGATTAAGTATTCAGGATGCTTTCTCTTTCTCTAGAAGCTCAAAAGAAGCCTTTTGTTTCCTGTAGCAATGCCCATTTGCCAGATCACATTTAAGTCAAGCAGACGGTTATTTGAGTGAAAACAAACCAATTTGCTTTTGCTGGTTCCAGTTCTTTCTTTTGGTCACAGGCTTTCAAAAGAAGCTTTCTTTTCTCCTTCTCTTAAATATGTAACACAAGAGATTCAACATGATTGAAAATATCTAGAAGAGAAGTTCTAGAATATCCTAATCTTAAGGCTTGGATTTTCAGATAAGAATTTATTTGACTCCTATTTGGTGGATTTATTTACTCTGACATGGAGAGCCTTACTACACACTGATAAAAGCCAAGTTAATATGTATTTCAAAGTTTACACTCATCATGCCTGTAATCCCAGCACTACGGGGAGGCCGAGGCGGGTGGATCACGAGGTCAGGAGTTCGAGACCACCCTGGCCAACATGGTGAAACCCCGTCTCTACTAAAAATACAAAAATTAGCTGGGCATGGTGGCCAGTGCCTGTAATCCCAGCTACTCGGTAGACCGAGGCAGGAGAATTGTTTGAACCCGGGAGGCAGAGGTTCCAGTGAGCTGAGATTGCGCCATTGCACTCTGCCTGGGTGACAGAGACTCTGTCTCAAAAAAAAAAAAAAAAACAAAGATTATATTCATGTATTCCTGTTGTGGATTGGGATGGGAAAATCAAGGCTCAGAGAGGGTAAATATTTGTCCAGGGTGATACATCTTGTACTGGCACAGCTGGGCCCTGGCTGTTGGACTCCACAGCCCTGAAGGAACACAGAGATGAAGACTTCAATACTGGTGTTCCTCATGATGCAGGCTTCCCTGGTGAAGAGGGGCAGGTGCTAGTCTAAAGAATGAAGAAACACTGGAGGCGGAGAGCACAGCAGGGTGACATGGCTGGAACAGAGGCACGATAAGTATGTATCCAGCACAAGCAAGAGGGAGCAGCTGATCTAGGTCATAGTTAAAAGCACCCATTAGGAGTACTGAGAAATTACACCGGAAAGAGCCATGGTTTAGAACTAGAATCACCTGGAGAGCTTCCAAAAAGAGAAATTTTTCTGCCCCCAGTTACAGGAGTTTTTGGTTCCAGAGGTGAGGAATGAAGTCCAGGGATCTGCCTCTTCACAAGCTCTCCTGTAATTCTATTTTCATTTTTTTAAAAATGATTTTGAGACAAGGTCTTGCTCTTTCATCCAGGCTTGAGTGCAGTGGTGTGATTTCAACTCACTGCAACCTTCACCTCCCAGGCTCAAGCCATCCTCCCACCCTAGCCACCCAAAGTAGCTGGGACCACAGGTGCTTGCCACCATGCCCAGCTAATTTTTATTTTATTTTTTTAGTAGAGTTGGGGGTTCTGCCATGTTGCCCAGGCTGGTCTTGAACTCCTGAGTTCAAGCAATTGGCTCACCTTGGCCTCTCAAAGATTACAGCCTCCTGTGATTCTGATGTGTGATGAGAATGAGAATCACCAGGGCAGAGGGCCTCCCAGGAGACCCAGTGATGGGCTCTGTATTTGCTTTGATAAGAGCATAGAGCCTGGACTCAGGGCTCTGGGATACATAGGCTGGGGCTGCTGTGTGTTTCAGGCTCCTGGCACCTGCTGCAGTCTCTGGAGTGAACTAAAACTGTTTTCTATTAGAGGGATGAGTGGCGGGGTGGGTAGATGAAGAGACACTAGAGATTAATATGATAAAATTCCAGAGTGCAGCTCAGATATGTAGGAATAAGATCTGTCTGATGGCTACTGCCTGTAAATACACAATGTTTTTCCTACTGTCTTGAACTGAGTAAGACAGATTGATATCTCATCTCTAAGTCACATTTGGGTGGCCTTCAGGAAGGGGCCTGACTTCTTCTTGTTTTATTTTCTCTAGCTTGGAGAAACAACATATTTTACAAGTGAGCAACCTGTTTGAGAACAGAAATTTTGCAAACATCAGAGGGTCATGGTGAAATTATTGTAGAAAACTTTGGTTTAAATTCAGTTTCGCGAGCTGCTCAGGAGGACTTCAGAGCCTTAACTGTGCACTGAGAAGCTCTCAGGGGAGAAACTACCTCCACAGGTCACCCACCAATTTCAGAGTGGACTGCAAAGCTCTGGCTTGAGATGGCAGAGGTTCAACTAATTTGGGATGCCGGCCAAGAGTGGACTCTTTTGCTTTGCTGTTGGCTGAATGGTGTCTCACCAACAAAATTCATATATTGAAGCCCTCAGTCCCAGTAGAATCAGATTTGTAGACAGAGTCTTCAAGTTAGAATGAGGCTGTTAAAGTGAGCCCTAATCCAATGACTGGTGTCCTCATAAGAAGGTTGGCCACACACAGAGATACCAGGGATGTGTGCACAGAGGAAACACCATGTGAGCACACAATGAGTATGCAGCTACCTGCAAGCCAAGGAGAGGCCAAACTTGCCAACACTTAGTCTTGGACTTCCAGCCTCCAGAATGTGTGAAAATACATTTATGTTGTTTTTGTTACCCAGTCTGTGGATTTTGTTACGGCAGCCTGAACAGACTAATCCATGCTTCATTCCATCCACATTTGTTCAATTGAGACCAGCAGGCTCACCATGCATAAAAACCATGGCAGATCTTGTTAAACTCCCAACTTCCCAAGCCCCAGCCCAGACATTCTAATTCAGTTGGTCCAAGACTGAGATTCAGAATGTGGGTGACTTCAGAACTCCGCCTAGAGAAACAGATTTCACAGCTTGGCAGAGTGAGCAAAGCCAGCACACAGCAGGTGCTTAATAAATGCTTTCTGAATGGATGGGTTAATGGATGAACACGCTCTTTCAAATAAAAGAGTACAAAGCCAAACTCAGATAACTTTATGACATTTCTCACTTCAGCAAGCAGTGTTTGGTGAGTCAAGTGGTTTATCTGTAGTTGGGACCCTCATCAGAGTGAGTGAAAATAGAAAATGGATAGCTAACCAATGGTGAGGCAGGAGAATAGGGTTTAGGGTAACCAAGGGTTAAGGCATAAGCAAGAAAACAGCAGGTTCGGCCAGTTCTAGGAAAGATTAGCACACAGGCCATGCCCTCACTCCTGTGATGGCAAAACAGTAGTTTCCACCTCAGCCTCTGGTCCACTGTGGGCCAAGTCTTCACTTCAGCCTCTGATTGGTGGTGGGCCAATCTTTCATAGGGTGTGACTAACTGGAGGCCTCGAAAGGGCACCTAGGGGTGTTACCAAATTCTTTTAGCTTAATAGAAACCCTAAAGAACATTGCATTCGGGGCTCTTGAGCTGCTTGCTTGAGCCTGCTCCCACTCTGTAGAGTGTACTTTCACTTCAGTAAAGCTGGACTTTTGTTACTTCGTTCATTGCTTCATTCCTTGTTGCATTTTTTGTGGATTTTGTTTAGTTCTTTGCTCAATGCACCAAGAACCTGGACAACTCACAGTCAAAACGTTCCATCCCTAAAATCTGAGGAGATATATAGTCATTCTTCTTTTTAAAACAGTTTCAAAATACAACTGCCAAATTTTAAAAATTGTTTTCAAGTTACTAAAGCCAAGCACTCATACCCTTCTACCAAATTTTGCAAGTAAAGATTCAAGAAAAAAACACTTCATTTTATTCCAGCTTCAGGTTTTGGCCACAGAAGCATACACATACCGGGGGCTGCCAATCTAGGACACTTTCCTAGCACAGCCTAGAAAGAGCATGATGGGCTCTTTTGAGAATAATTAACGTACTCTCTTCTTGCATCCTTTCTCCCTAATATTTCCTTTCCCTTCCTTCTGTGGTGGTTGTTTGATGTCCTGAAAGCCACAGCAATTAAAGAAAATGTTCTTGAGCATAGAAATAACAATCAGCCCTGTTTCTTACAGTTTTGATGATTGAGTATGCTACACAGGCATCCGAAACCACAGAGATGCAATAACTGAATGTAAAGTATCCGATAAAGAGCAGTATAAATCATGAACCAAGAGTAAAAATGTTTTATTAGAGATGATGATACATAAAGATGAAATTCAGCTGGACTGTAGAAGGCTGTTAATTGAATTAGGGTAAAATAGTGAAAATTGGAACTGATCCATATTTGTGGAATCATGTGATGCTTTAATTCAGTTTTTTTTTTAGTAGGCATCCACTATTTAGTAAAGACTTATAACTATAAGTAGTATGAGAAGAATAGGTAGGACGATTCCTAAATCTCATAGCAATCAGGCAGGCATACACGGTGCCCCTCTTCATGTTTTATGTTAGAAATGCACAATCCAATTCTCTATCTGAGGTAAATACTCCTGTAATTCACAAAACACTGTGATGTGTTTTGATGATATTAGGTCATGGGTCTAAAAAATCAAGTGGTTATTATACAATTATTTTACCATATTCACTTCTAAATTCATTTCAATTTAGAAAAATGGAAAAATTGAGCAAAAAGTATTTTGTTGTGTCCAGGGAATATTCCAAAACAATAAATTATTTAAACTGTCTTGGGACATCAAAAATATTTCCTCTATAAAATACAATGGGTGCAGAGTGAAAAACAATACAAGTATTAGAACCTTAGAGCCTTTAGCCTATAAAATTAACTGCACTAAATGAAAAGATACCGTTCTTGGAGGCGGTGGAGGAGATAAAGTACCACCATGAAGTTTGAGCCGATGAAGGGAGCAGGCTGTGAAACTAGGATTGAAAAGAAAGACACAGGGTGGAACATAAGGCCTAGAAATTAATCCTGAAAATCACTAAAAGAAGTGGCTCCTGGCTGCAATCCTAGCACTTTGGGAGGCCAAGGCAGGTGGATCATGAGATCAAGAGATCGAGACCATCCTGGCCAACATGGTGAAACCCTGTCTTTACTAAAAATACAAAAATTAGCTGGGTGTGGTGGCATGCACCTGTAGTCTCAACTACTTGGGAGGCTGAGGCAGGAGGCTTGACCCCAGGAGGTGGAGGTTGCAGTGAGCTGAGAGCTTGCCATTGCACTCCAGCCTGGGCAACAGAGTGAGAGACTCTGTCAAAAAAAAAAAAAAAAAAGGGGGGCTGTTCACCTGATACCATGAGCACTGATTTCTTGTTAGCAAAGAGAACTCACGTGGCATTGACTGATCTGGAGTCCATCGTGTTGCCCACCAAACTTCCTACAAACTTAGTTTCTGTTCTCTAGACATATCCTAGCTTTTCTTCCTTGGATGAAATATTTAGAGATGACAGAAATAATGACTTCCAACATGAAGCATGTAAAAGCGAAGAGTGGCTGGCAGAAAGGATTGCAGGAGAAAATGGAACACAAAATTAACATATTAAGTAGAAAGCTGGTGTGCAGTTGAATTTCAGTGAGGCTGACTGGCCTTGCTCAGCTGCCAGGGAACACTCTCGACTCTTGTTTCCAATCTCTTCCAGGCCCTCCAGGGGCCCTGGACCATCTCTTGGGTCCCATCACAGCTGAGAGCCTCCATGCCCTGCATGCATGAATGCATCCACTTGCACACACAGCTCGGGACCAGTCTCCAAGGGTTTCTGCCAATATTCTCTTCTAAAGTTTCGCTTTGCTCTCTGCCATCACTCTATACTTTCTTGCCAAGAATTTATAACATCATAAAGACACAAAGTTGTTCAAATTTTGCTCTGGGATTTTGAAGGAGGAAAAATTCAAGCCACAAATATGCATGGGGCTATGCAAATTTATCACTGTGAGAACAAGTTTTTCAGTCCTATTATCATCACTTTATTGGTGGCCGAATTGGAGGAGTTGTTAAAGTTCAGAAGACCAGCATTCACCACACGCTGTTATTAGGATGTCTACACTAATCATAGCTTACAAAGGCCAATCGATTTGCTCTGAAATTATAACAGCAACAATCTTTGCCTTAGTTCCTGTGTGGGTGAGCACTGTTTGTATATTTATATCCTTATTTCTGGAACATTAAAAACTCTTCTGTAATATATTTTTCCATCAGATATAGTTGAGAAAATAATTATAAATAGCCCATTAAATGTTATGAAACAATAAAAAATCTGATTAAACATCAATCCCAGACTAAGAATATAATGTAAGATTTGATGAATTATGGCTAATTTTATGCCAGTTTTTATGGTTATTAAATAAGTTTAATGGACCACTCGAAATTCCATTACATAAATCATAGTCCAAAGTCAGGTTCTCTTGTCTAAAATAGCAAAATTTCTAGTGATAGGACAAAAATTTAATAGTGCTAGCACAGTTATAAGACAAAATCTTTGGTGTAGTTAGGATAAAAACTATATATTATTTGAGAAATTATGTCCATTCAAAATATTCCTTCTAGAACTACATACCTTCAAACCTCATCAGATAATAGTAGCTAATAGCTATTTTTCATTTCATAATGCAGAAACCCTAGGACCTTTCAACATTAATACAAATGTGGCTGCTTTATATAATGCCTCACATCTGCATGAAAAATAAGACACCCAACAGCATCCAGCTGACTCTAAATGTCCAGATGCTGGGAATGATTCACCCATGTGTCTTCCACATTGAATGTGCCAAACAGTGACGCTGAGTGGGCAATGATGTGCTGCATAGGGGGAGGGAGAGATACTGACATTTGTTAGGGAAATAAAATGAATTAACTTGGTGCATGCAACAGCACATGCACCGAGTAGCAAGAAAACAAATAAATAGAGAAAGAAAGCAGTTGTAGTTCACATACTTGCAAAATTTGGAAAAGTAAAATAAAAGACTCAGTAACTGAAAAGATTCAATAACTGCTGTGCTGCATGTATATCTGGGGTGATACTAAAATAATTCAACAACCTGCACAAATACATAAATTAGTAATTAAAAACTTTCCTCTAATTTCATACATATCCCTGTACACACACACACACACACACACACACACACACTCACACACTGCTCAGCAAGTTTCTGAAGCTATAGCATTGTTTACCCAACTGTCCTGACACTTCTGATTTTAGGAATTGCTAGGGTGATCTCTCGTTTGGGCAGATGTCCCAAGCTGACGTCCGTGGCTGAGCTGTTGATAGTGGCAGGAGACAGACAAATCCCTAGGCAGACAGTGGTGGGTCCCCATTGAAACCCAACCTTCAAGCCGAAGACAGTTTAAAGCCTAGCTATAAGTCCTGGGTACATCCACAGACTGGATTGAGAACCTGTCTTTCCATTTTGGTGCACTTTTCTCTGATTGATCCCCACCCTTCATCTATTTTACATATACCTATCCTTTCCTAATTAGTTTTCTACACTGTCGTGCCTTTGAGTGGTGTCTTCATTTTAACCTTTTTTGCACACTCATAAACCAATCAGCACACACTCTCCATTTTGAGTCCATAAAAAGCTCCAGACCTAGCCACACTGGGAGATAAACAACCCAACTGAGGGGTTGGGGGACCACCCACTGTATCCCCTCTCCACTGATAGCTGTTCCATCACTCAATACAATTCTTCTCTGCCCATCCTCACCCTTGGAATTGTCAGTGTATCCTCATTCTTCTTGGACACGGGACAGGAGCTCGGGAACTGCCAAACATGGGTACAAGCTATAGGACAGCAAGCTCAGCGGGTGGGGGTGCCTCCAATGGCAGGCCCGGGGCTGAGCAAGGCCCAGGCAGGGGGATATCGCCAGCCATGGAGGTCTCTTGTTGGCAAAGTGGCTGAGAAAAATTCTGCATCACTGTGATTTAGCCTCACACACTTTATTGACCTCCCATTAAGCTAATAGTCATCAGGCCAGTGCACTACATCTGGTTACAAAAGAAGGTGTCTGGGCTGGGCATCACCCAGAAGCCAGCACTTTTCAGCTAGCTTGAACTTAAAAGACCATTGTCTTGGTCCCAACCCCAATTCCTCAAGGTTAGCCTCAGCCCCCACCCTGTTGGGTTGTCCCTGCCACCTCTGGCCCACTCCAGAGCAGCAGGAGGCATTGCACACATCCCACCTGGAACCTCCACCTCTGTCCACCTCCAAGACAGCCCCACTCCCAAGACCACACCACCACCACAGCCTCCATGGGCCAACGTCATTAGATAATGCGTGGTCTCAAGTAAACTATTTCTGATTACCAACTACTACAGAAGAATTTAAAATATATATACTTTAGCAACACATTATGCCACATTGTTTTATGCTGGCTGGATACCTATTCTGGATACGCCTCTTTATGTGCTCTGACAAAGAAATCCCAATGCAATGCCCTGGCAATGAGAACAGTGACACACAAACAATAATATGCAGGGGTGGAAAAAAACATGCCAAGGTAGTTCACATTAGGGGAGGTCTCAGAAGCGCTTTGAGAGGTGAGTGTGCCACAGTGAGGTCACAAAATAGAGATGTTGTGCAGGAAAGGTTCAGTTGAGCCCAGCTATGCCAGCAAGCCCAGGGCACTGCAGGCCAGGTAGTTGTCTCTCTGGATTGGATGGCACCAGCTCCTCTTTTCACTATATTTTGTCTCACCTATTCTGTCAGCAGTGCCTTCTGCAAGGAAACTTGGAGAGAGAGAGAGACAGAGTAGAGTTTGCTCCAGGTACAGACCTGGAGATTGCAGAAGGCTGGTGGCCTTGAGTCTCACTTCCAGGGTGCTCCACACTCTCTGTGAGATGAGCAGCACAGAGGAGGTCATAAGGCTGTGACCGACAACAAAGCTTATTGCAGGGGTGAAGGAGCAGGGGAGAAGTGAGCAATCACTTGCAATTTTACCAGGTGCTATAAAATCACTGACGGGGACTTTTTTTTTCTTTTTTTAATTGAACTGCTTCCCAAGGTCAAATGCCCAAAACAAAAACCTCTTCATCTGGACAAGGCTTTATTTCATCCAAGCATCTCTAAGCATTTATTCCCTATCTGTCACATTTTGCATGATGTAGAGGCAACATTTCCACTTATCATTAACTAAGTGGTTAGACAAGGTAGTTATCAATTTCACAAGGGTGGAGGTATTTAGGCAATTTTCATCAATGACATTGTGATGGGTTAATTTTATGTGTCAACTTGACTGGGTTAAGAGATGCCCAGATAACTGGTTAAACATTATTTCTGGGTGTGTCTGTGAAAGTGTTTTCAGAAGAGATTAACATTTGAATCAGTGAACTGAGTAAAGAAGATTGTCTTCAGCCACGTGGGCTGGCGTCGTCCAGTTCTTTCAGAGCCCGGATAGAACAGAAAGGCAGAAGAAGGAGGAGTTTTTCCACTCTCTTTTCTTGAGCTGGGACATCTGTCTTCATTAATAAAGAAGTGGGGAGGCTGGGCACTGTGGCTCACGCCTGTAATCCCAGCACTTTGGGAGGCCAAGGCGGGCGGATCATGAGGTCAGTAGTTCAAGACCAGCCTGGCCAATATGATGAAACCCCATCTCTACTAAAATACAAAAAATTAGCCAGGCGTGGTGGTGTGCGCCTTTAGTCCCAGCTACTCAGGAGGCTGAGGCAGAAGAATTGGTTGAACCTGGGAGGCGGAGGTTGCAGAGAGCTGAGATCGCACCACTGCACTCAAGCCTGGGCGACAGAGCAAGACTCCATCATAAACAAATAAAGAAGAGGGGAAAGGTGGAGCCTGGAGAGTGGGTCAGGCAGGAGCTTGGTTTAGGAGTTTTCCCAGTTCTAGGGGAGGGTTCCTAAAGGTTGTCCAGCTGTCCAGTTCAAAATCTGGAGTATAACCCATGATCCGAGGAAAAGTTGAGGTCTGGCCTGAAACACTATGGCTAGGATTCTGGGGCAGCTTTGTGGGTGCACAGCTGAAGATTTGCAGCTCAGGTCATTGCCTCATGAGCTCCAAGCACACAGACCAACTCCAGGCCCTGTCTCCTGGGGTGGAGAAGCATCTAACACATGGACGGCCTTGGCTAGATTTGGGTTTTGAATCACAATGTTTAACACCGCAAGGCTTGAGGGTCTTCAGGCAAATTACTGAGCACAACTATGAAGGCAGCCACTAATAGCAGCAAAAGTGTATTCAATATTTATATTTCTTATGAGCCATCTACATGGTTCAAAAGTTAGCACATTCTTCCTTAGGCTCCTGCAGGCTTTGACATACCTTTATGAACTGCTCCAAGGATTGGGAAGTCTTCATTCTCATTTGCAAACCGTATATATTCTGAATACCTGCTCATATCCCATCTCGATTATCTCATCAATAATTTCCATCCCTCTGATTTACACCTGTAAAAGCAACTCACTTGCTTTTCCCAACCTAAAGAGTGCTGTGGAGTCCCTGGAGTAGAGCTACTGCAATTTCGTCACTCTCTGACCTGTTGGAAACTCAGTTTCACCGCAGCTTTACAAGGCTGCAGAGTCTTATATCTTACATGCATATTATAGCCAACACTGTTGACTGATTGCTCAAGAAATATCTTGGTTTTGTTCTGATGGATATATACTCAGTTTTAGGGAATACATTATGTTTGCTTTAAGTCAAATACACCAAAATCAGTTTCTTCTGCCAGGAATTAGTCTAAGTGGGACCCAACTTCAATGAGATAAAGACATTTTTTAAAATCTGTTGGTGACTTCTGGGAAAGGATTTCCTCCTTAATAAGGGACAGGCACAAAAGAGGTCAGCCCCCCCACCTTTTTCTCTGCTGGCCCCACCTGCTGACCTCAGCACTGTTCTCTAGGGCCATACTTCCCCATTTAGTTGGTGGCATTCTTTTCTCAGGGGAAAAGGTAAAAGATTATAAAGGAGTGAGAAAGTCAAGTTACTTTTAGCTGGTGAGAACACATGGACACATGGAGGGGAACAACACACACTGGGGCCTGTTGAAGGGTGGGGGTGGAGGGAAGGAGAGGATCAGGAAGAATAGCTGATGGATGTGGGGCTTAATACCTGGGTCACGGAATGATCTGTGCGGCAAACCACCGTGGTACCTGTTTACCTATGTAACAAACCTGCACATCCTGCACATGTGCCCCTGAAGTTAAAATTAAGGTTGGAAATTTGAAAACAACAACAACAACAAAAAAAAAAAAAAACAACTTCTAGCTATAAGAATCCTGCTTTGAGCTTCAAAAGCCTAATCTCTGTGTCATGTCATTTAGTTGATGACATGAACAACAGATGCCAAAAGCTATGTGATCAGCCAGAACCATTTTTTTCCACCCAGACTGAATAACGAGCCCATGGCTAACAGCAGAGAAGCCCTGAGTCAAGGACCTATCCACAGGAGGCACATCCAATGGGAGGAGACACAGTGGAAACCACACATGGCTTTGGGCTTAGCTGAGAGCCCAGGGAATCTAGGCCTGTGTGCAGTAAAGGGTTAATCCCACAGGCTTAGGGGGTCCAAATCCCACACATTCTAAAGAAAGATCTTGCCCTTGACTGACTCCTAGGAGGTAACCTCTAAGCTGTTGCAATTTCCAGCCTGATAAAAGTGTCATTACAGACCTGAGGCTTGGGGCCAGGCAAGATTGTTTATGCCAACAATTGGATTATGACGAGTGTCTGTTTTTATTCTTCTGGGACCCTGGGCCACGCTGTGTCAGTTGAACCTCTGGAGGAGGGGTTGGAGACTCAAGTGTTAAGGTAAGTCATCTGAGCACTCTATGTGACTAACCCCTAATGAAAACCCTGGACACCAAGGCTTGTATGAGCTCCCTGGTTGATGATACTCTGTATGTGTTGTCACAACTTCTTACTGGAAGAGTTAAGCCCTGTCCCTATAGGTCTCCGGGAAAGACAACTGGAAGCCTGTGCCTGGTCTTTCCTGGACTCCTTCCTATGCACTTTTTCCTTTGCTGATTTTAATCTGTATCCTTTCACTGTTTCATAAACTATAACCTTAACAACAATAGCTTTTCAGAGTTCTGTGAGTCTCTCCAGCAAATCATCAACCCAAGGGGTGGTCTCAGGAAACTCCAACACAGTCCAACATTTCCACATGGGTTCCTGTTAACGACACGGTCTTGGAGCAGTAGAAAAAAGATGGCTGCTTTGATGTGCCCAGGTGGATGGTCCTACAACAGCCTAAGAGAGTTCCTCCACCTCTGGAGAGGGTGGTCCACAGCCAGGCATTTTCAGGGTGTCTCACAAGGCCATAGATGTTGTTGAAAGAGCCTTTTGTGGAGAGGCTTTATATTAATAGTTAAGGACACAAGAGGCCAGAGGCAATCTGACTCAATGATGGAAACTTGGTAGCTGCAGATGCCGGCCGTGAATTGGTATCAGTGATGGAAAGAAGGCCACACCCTCTCTACTTGGTCTGCTGAGATCCTTTAGCCCCAGGTTAGACTCCTAAACACAGAGGAAAGCACCCAGACACAGAGTGGAGAAGACCCCGCGTTGACTGTGATCATCGTGAATTAAATGAAATTAAGATTCTACCACCTGGCATCATGCAGTATATGTTACAAATTAAGTTGAACTATACAAAAATACAACTTCAATTCTAACCATGCCGTCTTTGTGGATTAAAACTCATACCTGGCCAGGCGCAGTGGCTCACGCCTGTAATCCCAGCACTTTGGGAGGCCAAGGCAGGCAGATCATGAGGTCAGGAGTTCAAGACCAGCCTGGGCAACATGGTGAAACCCCATCTCTACTAAAACTATAAAAACTAGCCAGGCATTGTGGCGGGCACCTGTAATCCCAGCTACTCGGGAGGCTAAGGGAGGAGAATTGCTTGAACCCAGGAGGCGGAGGTTGCAGTGAGCCGAGACCACACTATTGCACTCCAGCCTGGGTGACAGATTGAGATTCCATCTCAAAAAGAAAAAGAAAAAAGAAAAAAAGAAAAACCTCACACCCATTACATACATGAAAAACTGTTAGCTTTTTAACCCAATCACCAATACGATATTACTGTCTGGTAAAAATATTTTTGTTTTCCTTTAAAAATCATATTGGCTATCAGGGAAATGGACCCAAATATGCAGATGGAAGTTGTTTATCAAGAGCATAGAAATGGAGCTCTAGGTTGAGTCCTAGAAGCATGCTCTCTGCTTTCTGGTGCTAGTACAAAATCAATAGCAGTACTTTCTCAGCACCTCTTTGATGTCAGCACATGGCACATGTGAAGCAAGAGGCTGTTCGATTTTGATTGTTCACTGCACTAAATTTTTACAGCTGCGGTAACAAATCACTGCAAACCTGGTGGCACAAAATAACACAAATTTGTTACCTCATGCTTTAGAGATCAAAATCCTAAATGGATCTCACTGGACTAAAATCAAGGTGTTGGCAGGACTGTGCTCCTTCTGAAGGCTCGAGGAGAAAGTGTGTTTTGTGTTTTCCAGCTCTTAGAGGCCATCCCTGTTTCTTGGTTCATGGCTGCTTCCTCCATCCTCAAAGTCAGCAGTGCCTGGCGGAGTTTTCCTCACATCTCATCATGCTGAACTTGACTCTCCTGACTCTGACTTTCACTTATAATGACCCTTGAACAACACCGGGCCCATCCAGGTGATTCATGGTAATCACATCTCCAGATTCTTAATCACATCTGCAAAATCCTTTTTGCCATGTAAGGTGAAATATTCACCTTCCAGAAATTAGGACACGCACATCTTTAGGGGCCATTACTCTGCCTGCCACACTTACTAAGTACCAGATTTTCCACCAGGGGTTAAGGATACCCCCTCAGCTGTGGAGATACTCTCAGTCTAGACAGGGAGATACGTCTGGAAATGCGTATTTGTACTAGGTAATCACTAGCTAGCTTAGGGAGATTCCGAAGCAGCCAGAGAAGGAGAGAGAAAATGGAGCCTGCTTTCTTGCAGTGCACAGTCCACAGCGTGCCACACTCATGCACCCATCTTGACAGCAACTAGACATATTAGGATTCTGACTCTCTTCTCTACCCTGCTTAAGGAACCTAAAATATCATGCTTGTCTTAGTCCACATGTGCTGCTATAACAAAACACAAGAGACCAGGTCATTTAGAAATAACATAAAATTATTTCTCTCAGTTCTAAAGGCTGGGAAGTCCAACATCAAGGCACAGACAGATTTGGTGTCTAGGCAAGGCTTCCTCTCTGCTTCTAAAATGTCACCCTATAGCTGCACCTTTACATGGGAGAAGGGCAAAAGGTGCTATTGTGCTCCCTTCAATCTGTCTCTCTTTTTTTTTTTTTTGAGACAGGGTCTCACTCTGTCACCCAGGCTGGAGCACAGTGGCACAATCACGGCTCATTACAGCCTTGACCTCCTGGGATCAAGCCATCCTACCACCTCAGCCTCCCAAGTGGCTAGGACTACAGGTGTGCACCACCATGTCTGGCTAATTTTTTTCTTTTTTTTTAATTTTTGTAGAGACAGGATTTTGCCATGTTGCCAATACTGGTCATGAACTCCTGGATGCAAGTGATCCTCCTGCTTTGACTTTCCAAAGTGCTATGATTACAGGCATGAGCCACTATTCAACCTCTTTTTTAAGACCACTAATCCACCTGGCATGGTAGGTCATGCCTATAATCCTAGCACTTTGGGAGGCCAAGGTGAGGGGATCGCTTGAGTCCAGGAGCTCCAGGCCAGCGTGGCAGCATAGCAAGATCCCATCTCTACGAAAAATACAAAAATTAGCCAGGTGTGGTGGTGCACACCTGCAGTCACAGCTACCTGGGAGGCTGAGGCTGGAGGATTGCTTAGCCCAGGAGGTGGAGGTTGCAGTGAGCCATGATTGCACCACTGCACTCCAGCTTGGGTGACAGAGTGAGACACTGTCTCAAAACAAAACAAAAATAAAGCACTCATCTCATCCATGGAAGCAGAGTGCTCATGATGTAATCATTTCCTTAGTGGCCCCACTGCTCAGTCCTATCACATTGGGTTTTAGGTTCCACCATATGAATTTTGGGGGGACACATACATTCAAACCAGAGCAACTCTTATTTCATTTTGTTCTTTCTACCCCCTTTTGAAGGCTACATTCAACCTTTCTTAACGTTTCCATTTTATTTTCACACGCAAATGCTGATGATCTTTAGTTTCCTCACCAGCCCCTTCAAAATCCTAATGTGAAAATGTTCATCGCTTTTTGCAAACCACACAGCCAAGCCCTGTTGTGCATGAGTGAAAGCTGTTGTTGCTTGCTTCATTAATAGCCACACTGTCAAACAAGCTGTGTGTGTTATTTCTTCACTCCATCCTCAAGTTGACAAGAAAAAAGCTTAAATGCACTAGAAGATGCTTCAATAGAAAAAAAAAAAAAAGTTCTGTCTGCACAAGTCCGGTATGTTCTCCTCTCTTAAAAGAGCAAGATGGATCATTTTTGTGCCTTCTCCATCACGCTTCTGTGTCACCGTTGCAGAAGCTTCCACCTTAAGACAGTGAATTGCAATAATAAAATGTCTCTTCCTCGCTGTCTTTGATGGTGGCAATGTAAAGGCTGGAGTTTAATTACATACAACATATGGACAAAAATTGTCATGCCTACTCATTTCAGGCCAATGGCGAGGAAAGCAAGAAATAGAAATCAAGAGAATCAGCTCAGTTTAAGTAAGAGCATGATGCTGGAGTGTATCTTATCTTATCTCATTTTAAACTAAAGGAGATCAAAGTTGAGAATGTTTTCTTTTCTTCACTGGACAAAAAATATGAAATGCTAACTGTGCATGAAGCATTGTTCCACCTTAACCCTTTAATGCAAGTATGGGACTTGAACCATAGTATGTCTATCAAAAATATTTTTTAAAAATCAAAATCTGTGCTCAATAAAGATTTTTAAACTTGTTAAAGTATTTCAGATTCCCCATTATAGAAAGTTTTGCATGTTTGAAAGGATGAGCCACTGGGCATAAGAGTGAGTTGATGGGTGTGATATTTACACTCTCTCCTAGGTGGATATCTTTCTGGACCCTAATGGGGTAGGTAAGGTTGCCTTACATGACCTTGTGTGTGTTGAAGCCTAGAGAGGCATGAACAGTGTATATTCATGGGCAGGCATACTCTGCCTAATCTTCTATCCCCAGAGGTTACTTTTGAGCTGACACAAGGAATATATCAATAATTAGCCCTTAAGATGCAATTCTCTGTTGGTCTAATTACTCAGGCCATTTTCACAGGCAATAAAAGCAAATAAACCAGGGTACGACTCCTTTTAAAATGTAAAAGGAGTAAAAAGCAACATTAGTGGGCTAGTTCAAGTGCCTTTCAAACTGCAAGAAAAAGAAAAAGTGAAATGGACCAATTCCAGGGCTTTATTTTCAGCTGAGAACAGGATACCAGAGGGCTGCACAGACACAGGCGCAGCTACACCCTTTGGTGACTTACCCTAAAGCAATGTGACCACTATTTTCTGGAAATAAAATTGACAGGCAGAAAGAAATCTTCCACAACGCGGCAATCTGATCAGGGAGTACCCCGCAGGAGTACCCATGCTGAAATGATTTCTAAAGTACTGGTGGTACAAAGTGATACATTTCTATTTGTTTTGTGTATATACAAGAGAATTTCTGGAAGGTTGGATACCGATGAATAACTATTAGTACCTGAGGGTGGGGGAGGCATACCAGGGAATGGAGAGTAAGGGACTGGAGTGAGACTAGAATTTTTTCTGTATGCTTTTTGAGTTTTGAATTATAAATGATAACCTGTTTACAAAAGTAAATAAAATAAGAATGAGCCAACCAGCAATCTCCAATTCAGAAATGCTACTTTGTGGAAAGAAATTGGCCAGGTAAAGTTTCCCTTGGATATCTTTTAAGTGATATTGAGGTATTAATAGAGCTGAGAATTAACATTTGTATTGCAGACACAGGAGTCCAGGAAAGGTCCCACAGAGAACCAGGGTTCCAAGGGATCTCCTGTCATAAGCTGTCACAAAGAGATTTTAAGATGAAGCAGCGCCATTTTAGTTAGAGGCTGGCTCATTCTGAGATTCTGCAGAGACAAAGAAACCAAACACAGCCAAAGAAAACATATCAAAGGCAATTGCACAAATGTCACTTCCTGCCTGGTTTACAAAATTATCATTTAATTTCTGAACCTCAGTGGGTCTGTGAAGACACTGACCTTCTAGCTTTTTGTCAAGCCCTCTGGACAAATGTGCCTCTCAGGCTGCTTCTGTCATGGCTTAAAAATTAGCTAATAAGTGGTTTGCACTTCATAAGAGTAAACACCATGTTGAAACTGAGCCAAACTGACACTCTAATAGGTCACAGTGAGCTGAGAAGAAATTTCATTGCAAATCCTCACCATGGGGCGTCCTGGGAATTCTACAAGAATCTTCATATTCATGAAGCTTAATTATAGCAAAATTGCCAATCTGTAAAATATGGCTGCATTTGCATACGACTTACAAGTCTGAAACATGAACAAGAAGACTACGGTCCCCTTGGGATGCCCACAGTATGTGTAGAGAAACACAAGTGAAAGAAAATTGATGGGGGGAGTGGGGGTAGGAAGAAAAATAAAAACAGATCAAGAGGTACTTTATTTACCTAGAAAAATGAAAATGCCAATCACAGAAAGGCTCTTATTATGTACTTGTAATCAACCATAATATTCAAATTGCTGAATAAAGAATCAAATAAAATCATAAATTTAAGACATTAGTCTTAAAAATATTACTCATTTTAGTTCCTGAGATGAATGGAAAGTTGCAAAGGCTGTGTGCACACCTCATCTGTTCTGATAATCGGGCAAATGAGGCTTCGTCTTCAAGCCCCTGCGGTAATCAACTTGAGCTCTTAAGTGCTTCTTTGGAAGAGGGGAGGCATCTTGGGATACCAGGATTGCAGGGCTCAGCAACATACAGACGGACAACCATCAGTAACGCTGCCCCCACAGATGTCACCAATGTGCCTCCAAGGGTCAAAAAAAATAGTCGTGTTTCTAACTATTTGATAAAAATGGAGGCAATTAAACTCTGGGAAGGCTATGATTTCTTAGCAAAATAAAACCTTGGCCCCATGCATTCTTCCCTTCCTCCTATAGAAGGATTGTCTGGTGTACTCCTGTTCACAGCAAATGCAGAATCCCACACTTTAAAACATCCTCTGTTCACACCTGTTTGGTGATCAGATGAGTATCTATCTATCTATCTATCTATCTATCTATCTATCTATCATCTCTCTCATCTCTCTATCACTCTAGTTATCTATCATCTCTCTCATATCTATTCTGTTTTCTGTTTATTATCTATCTACTATCCATCTATCTACTATTTATCTATTATCTATCTATCTATCATCTGTGTTCTATCAGTTATCTGTCCATCTATGTATATGCCTATCTATTTATCTATGTATCTATCTTTCATCTATCTGCCTTTCTACCATCTAATTTTCTTCTGCATATCTACCAATTATCTATCTATCTATGTATATGCCTATCTATCGTCTATCTGCCTATCTGTCTATCTATTATCTATCTATGTATCTATCGATCGATCCATCCATCCACCCCATTAGGCTGTACCTGATGGGGGCAGCATCATGTTCCTCACATGGTCAAGCATGGCTGTGTGCCAGGGGCCTTCAAGCAACATTTAAAGCTAAAGCCAACGATAGAAACCATAATTAATAATATTTTCAGACAGGTTGCCAAATAACATACATGTAAGCGAAGACCAGATGCATTTCAAAAATGTTCAAGAAATTGAATGTGAATAAATTCATTGCTTAAAAGAGAATAGCAAATGGTGCATGCTGTGTGATATGGTAACGACAACAGCAATACTAGCAGTGGTCATCTATCAAGTGCTAGTTATATGCTAAAGACTGTGTTAAATGTTTTGACATCCATCACCTTACTGCATCTTCCCAAAACCACAGGAGGTAGATATGATTATCTCAGGAAACTGAAACTCCTGAAGTTACATAGAAAAATGGCCACACAGTTAATGAGCAGCAGAAAGATAATTTGGCCACAGATATGCTTAACTTGAAAATCTGAGTCCTTAAAGATCGTATACTGTGCCCTCTCTTCAAATCCTAAAGAAATGACAAGAGAAAGAAAGGAAGGAAGGAAAGCAGGAAAGAAGAAATCAAAGGAGGAGGGAGAGAGGTAGGGAGGGATAGGAGTCAACATTGAAAAACAAGGGATAATTCTAACAACTGGCCAGAAGTTATAGAAATTTATATTGTAACAACAACAATAACACCCATCTACAATCCCTTATCTGCAATCCCACAATCCAAAAATACCTCAAAAATGAAAAAGTATTTTCATGATTCACCTGCTGCCAAAACATGGCCCAAATGGACGTGAGGTTCTATTTGAGCCTTGTTCATTACACACAGAATAAAAATTCCACAGTTCTGCTGAAGAAATCTTGAAGCATTACTGCCCCACATTCCACCGTGAGGGTGTAGAAAACATGCAGAGTATGGTAACATTTACTTTTAGATAGCTATCTAAAATGTGAGAAATTCTGAAACACATACAGCCCCTGAGGCTTGCCTAAGCTGAGAGCATGTCTGCTGACCTAAGAATCCCTCTGCCATTATATGTCCTTGACAGTCAAGACAATAAGACAACAACCTGTGGTCAAAATCAACCGACAATAACAGAAATTTAGTGAAAAAAGAAACATACATCTCAATAACTGCTGAAGAAAAGCAGCCTCCTCTATTGCAAGGAGAACTCATGGCAATGTTATCCTATTAAGATCTGACATCACCTTCTCTCCCTTCCAGGCTAATTTCTTAACTCAGTTTAGTTTGAGCCCAAGCAAGGGCCTGTTTTGGACTCTGATTACATTTGAACACCCCAGGCTCACTCACCCTTGGCCTGGAGGCTTCCGGAAATAGAGCATTTTGTTACATAGTTTCCACAGAAAAGTAGGGAGAGTTTGATTGAAATGATTTATAGGAAATCTAAGAAAAATCTTAGCATGCACGATATCATTTATATGCATTTGAAAAATACACTGTGTTAGTTTCTATGGTTTACAGATTCACAAATACGTTGCAGAGGTTTCAAGATGTGTATAGAAAATGTGAGTGGGACCTCAATTCTATCTAACACTCGTATTCATAAAAAAAGGAATGAATGAAATGTGGCAAAGCATAAACATCTGACTCTATGTTGGGCTTAAGTACCTGGTTTTTGTTTTCTTTCGTGCTTTTTGTTTTTGTGACTCTCTGTCCTTTTCTGTGTATTTAAAATACAATTATTCGACAACAAAAATAACCCTCACAAAATATCTGCTCTGTACCAGGCACAAGAATGACAGTGAGGATAAGAGAGACAACATCCCTATTTGAAAGGTTTTATAATTAAAATTAAAAATGTATGTTAATTTATTGTGTCTTCTTGGGATTAGAAAACAAACAGAATTTATTAGCATTGTGTTGATTTGCTTCTTTTAGTGGAGTTTAGATTGATAAAATCATTAACACTAACAGATTGCCCTAACAAAATGGACATATTTCCAAATTCTAGAAAGACTTCAGGCAGGGAGAGCAGGAGGGAGGCCATTAAGCTCTCTTTTGTAAGCAGGATGTCTGCTTTGGGGCGTGTCCAAAGGGAAAAAAGGCAATATGAGAATAGAGAGGTGTTTAATTTCAGCTTCTAAAACTGCACCTGTTTCTTTGAGCAAAAGTTCCCTGTTTGGCAAATAAGTGTAAATAATATAGTAAATTAACATTTGAGGGAAGAAAACCCTAAAATTGAGATTTTTATGATTTAAAATATGCCTAGCAAGATATTATTTTTTTCAAAGTACTTATTGAACACATAGGGTTAGAGCATAAAGTAACATGCCCAGCCTTGTGGCAGCCCGTGGGCATCAGCACTGGGTGTGTAATTACAGAGGTTACCTGAAGCCTGAGGAATAAGCACATTACGTTGTTAAAACAAACAAACAAACAAACAAAAACACAACACTGTGAAAAGACAGAAGCACTAGAATTTATAAGCATTGATGATTATGTAAGAAATATCTAAAGAAAGTTCACTGTTAATATTGAAAGGTCTAATCCTGGCTATCTTTTACCTTCAGTTCTCTACATTTTTTTCCTTTTTTTAATCCTCTATCAAAATTATTATCTTGACAGACATGCCAGCCTTAATATGTGCTCTTGCTTAAACAGCATGAGTTCCGTGCTTTATATTGAGACTGGCATATTTAAATTCAAGTGCAGACATACAGGAGCGTCCTATTTTGGCCATAAGTGACGCAAAGTCCAAATCTTAACACTCTTCTCCCAACAAGCATGCATTGAACAGCAGATATCAGATGTCATCTTCTCAAAGTTTTGCTTTATGCCAAAGTTACCATTAGGATTAGCTTAGCTCTCTTTGAAGGCAATTAATGAGAATGGAAGTGTTAGGGGCTGGATGTTTGTGTCCCCTAAATTAATATGCTGGAACCCTGTTCCCCAACATGATGCTATGGGAGGTGGGGCAGAATGGAATCAGTGCCCTCAGAGAGCCACAAGACCACTCACTTCCTTCCCTGCTCCCTGCCAGGCAAAGAAAGAAGGAGAAGTCGGCTTCTGCCACCAGGAAGAGGGCCCTCACCAGCACCCTGCGGGCATCTTGATCTCAGACTTCCAGCCTCCAGAGCCATGAGAAATGAACTGTTGTAGTTTCAGCGACGCAGTCCATCAAACTTTATTACGGCAGCCTGAACAGGGTAAGGTAGGAAGTAAATGGGAAACAAAATAAAAAGGGGAGAGTGCCTGAGGTGTCATCAGAAGCCCAGCTTGAGGGGCTCTGAGGTATGCAGGGGCTTTTCATAGTTGTCAATGATGTGTGTGTGTGTGCACATGTGAGTGTGTGTGTGTGCGCACCTGTGTGTATGCCAGTATGTGTAGTATGTATGTGTGTGGTGTGTATGTGTGAGTGTATGTCATGTGGTGTGTGCATGTATGCATGTTAAGTGTATGTATGTCAGTGTGTGTGGTGTGTGTATGACATATGTGCATGTGAGTGTATGTCTGTGCATGGTGTGGGGGGAATATAAGCATGTGAGTGTATGTCAAAGTGTGTGTGTGGGGGGGGTGTATATGTGTGTGTGTGTGGTGTGTGTGGACATGTATGTGTGTAAGAGAGTATGTGTGTGTCCTGTTAGCAGGAGTGTCCAGGGCCAGGTCACTGAACACCTCCATATGCACAGGCCAGTCGCACACAACGTGGAATTGCCTGTGTTGCCGGCACTCTCCTCCCACCGCTTCAACACTGGACCACGTACATCTATAGACTTTGTCTCTGGGCATCCAATTCTCCCTCTTAGAATAAGAGCACTTGGGTTTTCCTTTGAGGAGCCATCCCTCATGGGCATGAGACCAAGGTCATCACCTCTGTGCCCCTAGACATGGTGACTCGTTCACAGATAGGCATGTGACATGACCCTTCTCAGGGATTTTGGAGAAAGAAGACTCTTTCCCCCTGGCTACTGAGCTACTGTCACTGGGGTTGTGTGCAACGTGCCATGCTAGGTATGCCAAGGAGCCAATCTAAACCAGAGTACTCCAAGAGCAGTAAGACTGACAGCAAGAGTGAGAGGTGCTCCTGTCAGAGTTTCTGGACACCTTGATGCTTCTGGGCCTGAAGGCAGTTACTCCTGGAGTTTTCAGTTCTGTGAGCCAATAAGACTTTTTTTTGATTTCTGTTTGTCACTTGCAATCAAGAGTTCTGAATAATGCAAATTACTGCACAAATTCAAAACTCAGTTTATAGATGCAAAATAAATAAAATTCAATATTTTAGAATTATGAGTTTATAACAGGCTTATAAATATGTTTTCAGATATCAGTCTGCTCAAAGTCTAGTCGAGCTACAACATATGCACAAATAATGTATTTCTATTCACAAAGCCAGTCTTTTCTTCCTAAGTGTCTCCCCTCTCCTGCAAATGTCCTCTTATCCATAGTCCGGGATAAAGGAAATGGATTATTCTAACGGCTGAGAAATACCTTCCCACTGGCATCGCATATATATAGAACCAGTGGTAAAGTCTGTAGGGAGATCTGTATTGGCATGGAAGGAGTAAGTGGGGACTCCCCACTGGGACTTCCATTGTATTTTCTCATCATATTTGTAAAGACCTGACTCTTCATTTATTGTTATCAAGGCCTGTGTGAGTTTGCTACCTTGCAATATCAGAAATTGAGGAGGAAGTTCCCTGCCCTGTTTCCCCCCGGGATGAAGTTGCAGATCACTTGGAGAGGACCGACAGGAGAGGAAAGAGGAGGCCCCTGCTCCTGATGGCACAGCACCCCAGGGAAAGTGATCAAAACCAGCAGAAGCAACAAGGAAAGTCAGCTGTGCCGAGAATTGCATTGCAAATTCATTCCACGCGTTTGACCTGTGAGAGGAAGTGTTCCATGCTTTCATGTTAGGGAAATTTGGCCAGACTGGGAGCCACTGTCCATTGCTCCACAGACGTGGAGTGCCCACTACTTCCTTGTCAGATTGTCAGACAGTGTCCTGAAAATAAGGGACAACAGTGGATGTGACGAAGAACCTATTTTGAGGACTTTTGTTCAGAGGAGAAGCAACAAATGGTACACAGGTGATAGGGCTTGGATGTTTGTCCCCTCCAAATCTCATGTGGAAATGTGATTCCCAGTGTTGGAGGTGGGGTCTGGTGGGAGGTGACCAGGTCCTGGAGGTGGACCTCCCATCCCCTTGGTGATAAGTGAGTTCTCACTCAGTTCGTTCACAGGAGATCTGGTTGTTTAAGAGTCTGGAACCTCCTCTTCTCTCCCTCTTGTTCCTGCTTTCCCCGTGTGGTGTGCGTGCTCCTGCTTCACCTTCTGCCATGATTGCAAGCTTCCTGAGACCCTCACCAGAAGCTGAGCACATGTTGGTGCCAGGCTTTTACAGCATGCAGAACTGGGAGCCAATTAAACCTCTTTTCTTTATAAATAGCAAGCAAAGGAATAAAGGAACGGCAGAATTTCAAAGAAAACACAGAGGCAGGCTGGGCATGGGGAGGTGGCAAATTCAGAGTGAGTAGTCAAAAGCAGCCTTCTGGGTGCATCCTTCCTGAACTACAACTTGAATGACAAGAAGAGACCAGCCAGGCCCTGTCAATACCTGTGGACAGAATCCTCTGCTGGGAGACAGTATGTGAAAAATCTCCAATCAGGAGCAAGGAGCAAACTGGACTCTGAGCAGGCTGTTGTGGAACAGGGCTGTCCCCTTGGCCTTCTGTGAGTGCCCACTGCACCTGTTCCCCTTGCCTGGAATGTCCTCTCCGCACTTTCATTTTTCTTTAACCAATCTAAAGGACAACTTGTCACTTTCCAGGGCATAAATTCCCTGACCTCTGACAGGCCAGGTCCCCTGAAATTCCCCGTACAGCCCCCACTCCTGTTGTTCATTTCCAGCAGGTCTCACAATTGTAAGCAGGTCATTATTTACATGATTACTTGAGGTCTTCCCCAAGACCATAGGCCCATGAGCACAGACACAGCTGGCACTACTGCTCACCGTTCCACCCTGGGCACCCCATCTGTGCCGGGTCTGGTCCATGGCAATGCCCAATCCATCCACTTTGAATGAATCAGTGAATGAATGCTCACAGACAGATACACCCCCATCTTATCCAGAAGACAGAAATTGTCCGCTGCCATGACCTCGGGTGTGAAGATTGCAGAACCATGGTTAGGCACGCTGCCATAGCATTCCCTGAGTATCTCATGCCACCTGTTCTTTGGGCCCTAAGGTGACTTAGAGTGTGGAATCAGCTCAGGCTTTTCCCCAACTTCAGTTTGGTAAATGTCTCTCCTGGCTGACACCTGCTAGAGGGCCAGCTCCTCAGGTGCCTGTGGAGTTGGCTGCATCCCTACTCTCAGTGGGGACTGCCAACAATTTAATGGTAACCTGAGGAGACCAACCACATCTCCAGCATGCCAGGAAGGGAGAAAGAAGCTTCTGTCCTCTTCACTGCTGATGAAGATAGGCACATACTGATGATGGGTGGCCACAGAAAAGCATTCTAAATATGAGGAGGATGATGATAGCTACACCCATGCACTGTGCATGCCCAGCCCTGAGATGAGTGTTTTCTATGCAGTACCTCATTTAACCCTTAAAACAACCCTATGAGCAGAGTAGTATCATCCTCATCATTTTCCAGAGGAGAAAACCGCGGAACAGAAGGGCTAAATAACTTACCCAGGATCACATAGCAAGAAAGTGGCAGAGCTTGGGTTCCAGGTGGTCCCATTGCTGATACTTTCATCCCTGATAGAATTTTGCCACACAAATGATGACCTGAGCCCACTCTGTTCACCAACACCTGTTCTTCCTCACCTTGCATGGGCAATGGCTGCTTCTGCTTCTGCCTACAGTCAGGCTGGAGGCTTTCAGAGGGAAGGATTCCTTTTTATAAGTATGGTAAAGCCCCCGGTGGTTGTTTTCCTGGGCGTTTTGTACTTGAAATATTTAGGCCCTCAGCACTCACACCTGGCCACTGCTTTGCCCCTGCACCTGGGCTACTTCAGGTCTATGGGACCAGTTGCGGTTAGCGCTAGACAACAATGACATAAAAATGAACCAAATGTTCCAAGGATCAGAAGCATGGACTCCACAGACTACTTCAAAGTGATGTGCAGCAAGGCACAAGAGTTCCAAAAGCCACTGTGGCTGGTTAGTTCCCCATTAAGTTGCTTCCTTGGTTGGCTTTATTATTTCATCTGCTCCATTAGTGAACAGCAAGCGTTTTGCAAAAAAGGCATTGCACAGCCTCACCAAGCTCCTAGAGAAGCCTTTCTAGAAGCTGCTTCATGTATCCCCACAAAGCAACATGGGCAGCAGGTTGGTGGGATGCCCCACTCTCCCGAAGAAGCAGCAGACTTATCCAGGTTAACTCCCTCCTCTCTCCTTTGTCCCCAACATGCACTGATCAGGAAGATGAAACCAAGTGAAAGCCACTTCCTGTGTGGGTCTTAAAATTCAATAAAAATAATATCTCAGAAAAAAGCCAGAACACACTTTCTGTTCAGATGGAAAAATGCATGTTTCCCTCCCCACCTTCACCTACAAGCTGAGTTCATGTTATTTCAACAGCACATCATGGACCCAGATGCAAATGGACAGTATCTGAAATGCAGTCCCGAGCAGGAGAAATGTAGTTTCATCAGCGAGTCATTTTTAAGGCTTGATTTCTATTTGTATTTAAACATACTATCAAAAAATAAATACTTGCATATTTTGTGGAATGTCTGTTGAAAATATGTGCCCAAAGTGTCTAACTTGGGACAAATCTGACCTCAGTCCCTGGAAGGCTACCTTCGATTTATGCCTCTTGATATGGCTTGGCTGTGTCCTCACCAACATCTCATCTTGTAGTTCCCATAATCCCCACATGTTGTGGGAGGAGCCAGGTGGGAGGTAATTGAATCATGGGGGCAGTTACCCCCATGCTATTCTCGTGATAGTGAGTGAGTCCTCATGATAACTGATGGTTTTATAAGGGGCTTTTCCCCGCTTTTGCTTGGCACTTGTCTCTCCTGTCGCCATGTGAAGAAGGATGTGTTTGCTTTGTTTTCTGCCATGATTCTATGTTTCCTGAGGCCTCCCCAGCCATGTGAAACTGTGAGTCAATTAAACCTCTTTTCTTTATAAATTACCCAGTCTCAGGCATTTCTTCATAACAGTGTGAGAATGGACTAATACACCTCTCCACTCTGAATTTAATTTCTTTGGTTTGGTTTTCAATTATCTTATCTATCATAGATCAAAACTTATTTCCCCAGTACCTTCCTTCTAATACCTTTCCAAATTTTTATCTGGAAGTAGAAGGCCCCAGTCTCATTCTATTAACTCTGCTATCCCATAGCCAGCATGTTTAGAGATACCAAATACAGTTGCTAGAGCTCCAGGCAACAGCACTGGGATCCAGTCACTAGCCATCCTCTACAGTGTCTGAAAATGACTCGTTGCCTCACTCACTTATTCAGCAAACACACTGCTGTACACTAGTCCCTGCACTGGGTGCTGTCTTATGACAATTTCCCCAGCCTCCAGCCTTCCTTGCATTTATAAAAGGTACTGATATGCACCAACTCACATCAGTGGATTCAGTTACACACAATGACAGGCAGCATCAGTTGTGTTTGTGCAGGGAAGTGGTCTTCAGTGCTGGTAGAACATAAAACTCACTTGGAAAGTTTTTCAAAATATGAATGCTGGAGCCCAAGCCCAGACCAATTAAAGCAAATCTCTAAGGGCATTGGTATTTGTAAAAATCCACCCAGGGGGTTGTAATGAACAACCAGGGCTAAGAACCTGCAGCCTTGTCACTGACAATACCAGCCTTGGACCAGCAGATTCAGCAACACCTGGGAGCTCATTAGAAATGCAGAATCCTAGGCCCCACACCAAGCTACTCAATCAGAATCTGCTTTATTTAACAGGATTCCTGGGTGATTCATGTGCACTAAACTGTTTAAGTACTATTCTGGGAGATTAGAACATAAAACTTTATCTGTTGAATTAATAGATTGTATTACAGTGAGCTGCATGTCATATCATTTTCAGAAACTAACGTCTGTGTAACAGCTTTCCTGGAAGATGAGATCACTCCAGACCACCCAGAGATGCCTAAGGACTCCACTTCCTTTCAGTAGTATAGTCCAGTCAAAAGATAGTGATTGGGAAAAAAACAAAGAAAAGATACAGAAATTGGGGCTAAAATGAGGCTCTGTAATGAAAAGATTGTATTGAGTTCAGGAAGCAGTTATATCACCTCCGTGCCAAACACACACACACACCAGATAATAAATTCCTTGAGTGCAGGGATTGCGTATTTCTCTTATTCATAGCTATATTCACAAAGCCAAGCTCAAGACCTTCACAGAGTCGGTGGTCACTAAATATTTCTTGCATCACTTAGTGTCCTGAACAGAGAACAATTCTGTTAGTCATTTATTTTGAGACCCTAGACGAATCTCTCCACCTCTCAGTGGAGAGATTTTCAGTGTCTTATCTATATGATCTGTTTAAATTATTTACCCTAAGATACAAAAGCAACAAAGAGCTCACTGATGAATAATTATGTGATCAACAGACACAGGGAAAGCTCCTTATATCTAGGAGAACTGTGGACTGGTCTCCACACTTCCACAATCCACGTGCCCAAAGAGTAATTAGTACTTGGATACTCTCAACGTGTACTCATTAAATGAAGAGTCATGGAGTTCCTATGTGCCAGTTACTATTCTAGAAATTAACAGAACAGACCAAAATCTCTGCTTTCCTGTAGCTTATACACTAGTTGTCTATAATTCAGTCACCAAAGTGTTAAAGAATATAAAGACAGATAAAATTACTATCATTCTATTTTCCCAAATGTTGTTATATATATTTTTTTTTTTTTTTGAGACAGAGTCTCGCTCTGTCAGAGTACAGCAGCTTGATCTTGGCTCACTGCAACCTCCATCTCCCGGGCTCAAGCAATTCTCCTGCCTCAGCCTCCCAAGTAGCTGGGATTACAGGCGTGTGCCACCACGCCTGGTTAATTTCTGTATTTTTAGTAGAGATGGGGTTTCATCATGTTGGCAGGGCTCATCTCGAACTCAGGTAATCTGCCCGCCTAGGCCTCCCAAAGTGCTGAGATTACAGGCATGAGCTACTGCGCCCGACCATGTTATTATAATTTTTAAGCCTACAATATACTTTTCATTTTCTAAGGCTTGATTTTTTTCAACATATGGCTATAATAAAAAAAAAAGTCCAAATTCAATACCATCACACACATCCTTTAAAAAAATACCAGGACAAAATAATTATGATTATGATTTTGGAAGTTGTTTATAAAATACAATGTCACAATATAGTACTAGTTCAAGTTAATTCACCTAGGTCTTTACTTACAAATAAAATCAATTTTCCCATGCAGCTATTTTAAGAGAAGAGGTGCAATACGTTTTTTAAGTTATTTGTGGTAAAGTACATGTAACATAAAACTTACTATCTTACCCATTTTTAGAGGACAGTTCAGTATTGTTAACTCGGTACTTATTAAACAATTTCTCAATTTCTCTTTCCTTCCAGCCCCTGGTAACCACCGTTCTAACTTTCTGCCTCTGTAAATTTGACTGCTTATCAAGACCATCCTGGCCAACATGGTGAAGCCTCATCTCTACTAAAACAAAAAAAAAATTAGCTGGGTGTGGTGGCGTGTGCCTGTAGTCCCAGCTACCCAGGAGGCTGAGGCAGGGGAATCGCTTGAACCCGGGAGGCGGAGGTTGCAGTGAGCCGAGATCGCGCCATTGCACTCCAGCCTGGTGACAGAGCGAGACTCCGTCTCAAAAAAAAAAAAAAGTGACTACTTTAGATACCTCATATAAGTGGAATCATATAGTATTTGTCTTTTTGTGACACGCTTATTTCACTTAGCGTAATACCCTCAAGATTGTTGTGGCATATGTCAGAGTTCTCTTTCTTTTCAAGACTGACAAATCCTCCAGGGAATGTTATGTACCACATTTGCATTACTCATTCATTGGGTGATGGATATTTGGGCTGTTCCTATCTTTTGGCGATTGCAAAAAATGCTGCTATGAACATGGGTGTACAAACATTTCCCCAATAATTCATGTTTTTAAGTTAGTTCTCAGTTGCTTTTGCATAGGTGACTTAGCATTCCTAATCAGAACACAATCAACTCAAACAAACAGAAGACAAGCCAAATGTACTTTTGTCATATAACTTGTACAAGAGAAAATAGTCTCCATTAAAAAATATTGTAATCAGATTATAAGAAAATGCATCCTGAGGTAAAGGCAGGACCTAAAAAGAACTTAAAAATACTACTTTGCCATATGAAAGCCTGAGACAAGCTTAACGAGACACCATTCACATCCACAGTCTAGTCACATACGTGAGTGTCTAAAATTTCTCCCAACTGTAGTCTTTGACCAGGTTTACTTTCCTGAAGAAATGTAAAAGTTCATTTTCCTCACCACATGATTTTAGGAGAAAATCCATGCACAGTTTTAAATAAAGGGATATTTAGAAAGAGATCAAAGAGAGAAAAAGACATGATCCAAAGTTTGAACACTGTAAAACTTATAAGGAGAACAGATAATTTCTTCAAAGGAAGAAAAGGCGAACAGACTAGCCTGAACAAATAAAAAAGTCTCCATACACTAACATGAACAAAGAGGCCTGGCACAGTGGCTCATGCCTGTAATCCCAGCAGTTTGGGAGGCTGAGGTGGGTGGATCACGAGGCCAGGAGTTCGAGACCAGCCTGGTCAACATAGTGAAACTCCCCCCCCGCACCGTCTCTATTAAAAATACAAAAATTAGCCAGGTGTGGTGGGTGGTGTGTGCCTGTAGTCCCAGCTACTTGGGAGGCTGAGGCAAGAGAATTGCATGAAACTGGGAGGTGGAGGTTGCAGTGAGCCGAGATTGCACTACTGCACTCCAGCCTAGGAAACAGAGCAAGATGATTCCTTAAACAAAAAAAAAAAAAAAAAAAGGATGACTATGGGAAAAATGGAAAAATAGTTTAAATTTATAAAAATGAACTGACATTAGACTACATGGAAACCGTATGGAAATTGAATGACCATTGGAAGTAAGAAGAATATAAGACAGCAGTTCTCCAAGAAACCACAGTCAGACAGAAGAGCAGAAGGGTGCTGTATTAGTCATCTTAGGCTGCTGCAAAAAATACCACAGGCAGGATGGCTTAGACAACAGAAAGTTATATTTTCACAGTTCTGGAGGCCAGAGTCCGAAATCAAGTTTCCAGCCACTGTGTATCTGGTGAAGGCTCTCTTCCAAACTTGCAGACAGCCACCTTCTGTGTCCTCACATGGCAGAGAGAGAAAGAGCAAGCTCTCTGGTGTCTCTCCCACTTCTTATAAGGACACCAGTCCTATTGGGTTAGGTACTGCCCTGATGCCCTCATTTAATCTTAATTACTTCCTTAAGTGCCTCACTTCCAAATACAGTCACATTGGGGGTTAGGGCTTCAACATATATGGCTTTTAGAGAGGGACATAACATCAGTCCGTAGAAGGTGCTCTTGGTGGTCTTTAGTTTAGCTTAAGTAAATTTAGCAAAATTATAGTGCCTAATAATTACTGTGAGATGTCGACCATCAACTGCTATATCCGGAGTTGGAAGCTGGAAAGAGAGGTCCCTGTGTCTCTTTTTGCTTCAAAGGCCAAAACTATCCACTTTCTTTTATTTTGACTAACTGGAAATCAGCCAACAAAAATGCAGTGAAGTCAGTGATAAGTCTGACCTAGCATGAGTAAGATAAAGCTGAAGGTGAAACAGAAAAAAGAAAACAGCTTGAGCAAAGGTAGGAGGCCAGAGTAGTATATTCAAGGAAGGCTTCAGAAAGATATTTATAGTGAGCCTAAGTGGCTCACAGGACATCCTCCGCACACACATATACACCAAGAACAGAGTGCCTAAAGGGCTTTGCCTATTATTAATGCTATTCAATTTCTGATTGATAACCTTAAATAATAGAGTTTCCACACCTATTGATGGTACCAACATGCACTAAATTCCTTACCTGAATCATCCTTGATGACTGTCTTTCTCTCACCCCCACATCTAATCTATCAGCCAACATACCAAAGCTTCCCCAAACATCTCTCACATCTGTCCTTTTTTTCTCTGTCCCCATGTCTGCCACTCAAGTCAGTCTCCACCAGCCTCCTACTAGTCATCTAATGGTATGTTTGCTCTCCCCCGCACTTTTCTCCACACAGCAACAGCAGTCACATCAATCCCCAGCCCAGAATTCAACAGTTTGCCATTATCCCTGCATAAAAATCCAAAGCTATTGCCTTAACCAGGAAGGCCCTTCATATGCAGGCTGGCCCTGCCCCATCCCTTCCCTGGCCACCTCCCATCCTGACTCCCTATCCAAGCTCACTCCACTTAGGGGTCTTCCACCAACCACAGTCCCCTCCACCTGAGCACCCACACATGGTTGGTTGCCTCTTGTTCCATCTTTCCTTCCACTTCACAGCTGGCCATTTGGAGTTGGCTGTGATGGTGTCTTGTTTTACGGTAGTAAAGATAAAAATGATGCCCCCCCCAAAATACAAAAAATGGAATTAGAATCCAATGAAACCCAGTGTATCTACATATTAGACTTTATAAAAGTAGAAATTTCAGATTTATTCAAGACCTATAAATGTTGTTTGGTCCTATGAAAACATCTAACTCATATTTAACCCTGAATTGTTGAACTCAAGGCCTTAAACAACCTCAATTTTATGCAAATCACCTCTAGTGGCCTTACGTTGGAAGTAGTTTTTTCTAAATTATATTCTATAGAATAACATGAGTGGTCTGGTGGTATGGCTTGGATCTGTGTCACTGCCCAGCTGTCATGTAGAACTGTAATCCCTAATGTTGGAAGTGGGGCCTGGGGAGGTGATTAGATCATGGGGGTGGATTTCCCATGAATAGTTTAGCACTATCCACAATATTTTTCAGATGGTAAGTTCTCATGGGACCTGGTTGTTTAAAAGTATGCAGCTCCTCCCTCACTCTCTCTTGCTTCTGTTTTTACCATGTGAACTTTCTGCTCCAGCTCTGACTTCCACCATGAGTAAAAGCTCCCTGAGGCCTCCCCAGAAGCAGCTGCTGGCACCATGCTTCCTCTATAGCCTGCAGAACCGTGAGCCGGTTAAATCTCTTTTCCTTATAAATTACCCAGCCTCAGGTATTTCTTTACAGCAATGTGAGAATGGACTAATACATCTAAAAAGAGAAAATAAAAATAAAAATAAACTAATTTAATTGGTTTTAAAAAGTGGCCACAATCACTTTGACATTCGTGCTGCATGGAACTGGGTTGCTATTGCTTAATGTATTATTTCCTAAAATTTTTTGAACCAGAATCCACATAATCTTTTCCCTATCTTCCTAATCTCTCCATGGACACAGTTTGAGAAATGTTGGTCAAAAATATCTCATTTTATTAGCTGAGAAGGAATACACTCAACTTGGAGATGATTCACTAGTCTTAAAGGACCATTTTATTTGTGGTTCTAGTCTTTGGCCAGAATTTAGAGCTCATAACCAACAGAAAAATGCTTCAGTTGTTGTAGCATTAATTTTTAAAATATGACATTTATAATCTGCCTATTCCTGGCTTGGTCATGTGCCAATTGCTCATGTTTAAACATGTAATCTGAAGTTTCAAGTAAAAAATATGATTTGTCTTATAGGTGTTTTTCCTCAACTTTTCATTATAGAATATTTTAAACACACATGAAGGATATAACGAGTATAATAAACCTCCATGTACCATCCCCCAGCTTCAGAAATTATCAATTCAGGCTACAACCTCACCCCTGGCAATGGATTGTTTTGAAGTAAATCTCAGGTATCATTAAAGGTATTTTCTTTTTCTTTTTCTTTTTCTTTTTTTTTTTTTTTTTTGAGACGGAGTCTCGCTTTGTCTCCCAGGCTGGAGTGCAGTGGCGCGATCTCGGCTCACTGCAAGCTCCGCCTCCCAGGTTCATGGCATTCTCCTGCCTCAGCCTCCCGGGTAGTTGGGACTACAGGCGCCTGCCACCACGCCCGGCTAATCTTTTGTATTTTAGTAGAGACGGGGTTTCACCGTGTTAGCCAGGATGGTCTTGACCTCCTGATCCACCCGCCTTGGCTTCCCAAAGTGCTGGGATTACAGGTGTGAGCCACCGCGCCCGGCCCATAAAGGTATTTTTAAAAGCTAACTGTCAGTTAATATTTGTTACTAAGAGTAAAAATGCCATAACTTCCACACTCCCACCTCATTATATAAACACACACACACACACATGCACGCGCACACACGTACACACGATGCATGTTCATTAAAACGAATAATCCCAGCTGCTTCTGCTGTGGGGCTGGCATCTCTGAGTCTATTTCATGGCATGGCATGGGAAGGAGTGTTGACGGATGCCTCACATGTGTTCGGTTACTGTTGATAAGGACACTGTATAAAATATTTGCCCCAGACCACGGGGACTAATATGGTAGCACACTTTCATCTGTCAGATTGGCTTGATCCACACAAACCTGTCAACAAAACCAGGTCAGCAGGCTGGAGTAGAGAAGGGAAAAATCAATAAATCTTTGAATTAATCATGCAGCTATCAGAGAGAATTATGGGTTCACACAGTGAAATGTATACTTGGGCCTATTTGCTCCTTTCTTCTTCCAGTTATTCCTTCATTTCCATCCAATGTAGAGTCCCTCCTATAGAATCCCCACGCCAATAACTTCGTTTCTGTAACTAGGTTCAAATAACTGTCCCTAATTTACAGCTTCTGTTCCACCATAATTCTTCTAAGAAAGGGTTGGAGACTAAAGAAAAATAAGTCCAATTTAAATCACAAGAAAAGCTGCATTCTAAATTGCTATGAGTGTTGCCTCTAGTTTTTAAATTCAGGTCGTATATGTTAGTCACAAATAAACAAATAAATCTTGCCATAAAACTGGATTTTTACATCCTATATAATAACCTGATGTGCACAAATAATTTTACTGAACCTTCACAGAGGTTCTGATCCTTGTCACCTTGAATATCCTTGCTGTTACACAGAGTTTACAATGTTTGTCCCTCGTGCCGCCTCCTCAATTTAACTAACCCTTCAAAAGAGAAATATCTTTAATCACATATCTATAGTCCTTCCTATTCTCCTTCTGCATAACCATTTTACAAGAACACATATACTCTATAGCCACTATTAGTAAAAAGCAGCATCGTCTTAGATCCAGAATTTAAGATAGAAGTCACTATGAATATATTTTTCCCACCACCAAAAAGGTGTAAAATTTATAAACTGATCAATAACTATGCAACAAGTGTATATTTTAAATACATGAAATTACTTTTCCAGTTTCACCATTTTTCTTGAAAAGAAAGTAATCATCCATATCCTTACTAGCAAGAAAAGCTTTGTTTTTAAAAATCTCAATACAAAACTAAAAACACTTAAATATTTTGATAAAACAAGAGAGAAACATTCATCTTATGTCAACAAGTCAAAGCCAGTAAAAAAAGCACAAGAAATTCAGGAAAATACACATGTTCAGGACCATCAACTAAGCATGTGCAGAGTCCTATCAAAGTCATGCATCAGGCCTCGCGGAGCCCAGAGGTTCTGCATGTTTTGCATCTGAAATGGACTTCAGGCTTTCATGGAAAAGGTTTACTGGAGAACCCTGGGAGGCACGGCCAGCAATAGGATGTTCAGGTTTTCTCTACTTAGCGATGGAATTGTGTCGAATTCAGTAAAAGAGGAAATGCTTGAGACTTCGATTGCCGTATTGTTCTTTTGTTTGCTTGTTTTTTTGTTTTGTTTTGTTTTTTAATTTTTAAAAATTTTTTTACTTAGAGGCAAGGAATAGAGTAGATTCAGCATCAGAGGAATTGACTTGATGGGGACACAGTGTGGGACACAGACTGACATGGAAAGTTCGAACACAGAATTTACTGACCTTGAATAAATCCTTGTGGATCATTTAAAAATTACCTGCAAGGCTGAGATACACCTTTCTTCAATATTTCATCATGCATGGTAAGCATTTGGCAATACAGATTTTTTTTAAAGTCTTGAATCCTAGAATAACTTTTTTAAAGAACAAATTACTTCGCTTGGAAATCAGAACTGTGGAAACGAGTCACGTGCATCCGGGCCTCGTGCTCCCTGGCTCTCCACCGAGGGATTCAGCCTGGCTGCGTTCCGTTTTGGGAAATGGCCCTCCTCAATTTCAAGTTCATTTGGCTTTTTCAATGATAGGGTTTCAATTCAAACAGATAACAATGCTGAGAACTAAAAATTTCACCATCTAATTAGCCGGGGGGGAATCTCAGTATGGCCTTTCTTTCCTAGTATCATCTGCAGTTTGAAAATGACTTGATGAAGGCTTTTTATAAAAACCCTTTACTTTTCCTGGTACAAGAACAATTGTAGTGAAAGATACTGGTACAATGCAATGGGCATAGGAGGATAAAAAAAAATGTGTGCATAAAAAGAAGCAGAGGAAACCAGGACAAATAAGAGATCAGAGAAAAGAGTGTGGCTGAAGGTTTCAAAATGCAATTTAGGTTGAAAAAAAGGAAGACACGATCCAACATCTATATCAGGCATTTTAATGGAGTATGAATCCCTGGTTAATCTGGGTAAGGACAAGTGGGAGCCGGGGGGTGAGGGAATGCAGATAGTCACAAGGTTGAAAGGAAGCAAAAAAGGCCTGGACTGTTGCAGCTTTCGATACTGGTGTGTTCTTCTGAAGATCCACTGCCCCATAGCTTTTATTACTTACTCAACATGTCCATGATCCCCCCAAAAAGTCAAGAAACATTGGCCTAAGGATATTTCCATCTATTAAAAAAATATGTATATCGACTGAAGATCTATTTCCCTGCCTCCCAAAATTCATATGTTGAAACCTAAACCTCAATGTGATGCTATCGGGAGGTGGATCCTTTGGAGGGTGATTAGGTCGTGAGGGTGGAGCCCTCATGAATGAGGTTAGGGCCCTTCTAAAAAGAGACCCCAGAGACACCATTCGCCTCTTCTGCCATGTGAGAAAATGAGAAGACAGCTGTCTATGAACCAGGAAGAGAACCCTCACCAGACACCAAATCTACCCACCTCCTTGATCTTAGAATTCCCAGCCTCCAGAGCTCTGAGAAATAAATTTCTGTCGTTTATAAGCCACCCAATGCATGGTAACTTGTTAATGCAGCCCAAACAATCTAAGACAATATTTATATATAATACTTTTTTTTCAGAAATTACAGGTAAACATTTTCAGATATACAACATATTATTTGCATTAAAGTATATTTTAAATATTTGATATTGAAGTAAAGCTCAGTTATAAGTTTATTTCAAAATGAATCATTTTGGGAAGTACAGTTTTCAATGAACTTCTTTCAGAAAAATAAGTCTTTGTAATTCCTTCAGTATAATAAGCCTACTGATTATAATTAGGTTATATCTGGCGTGTTTCTATCTCTTTTGTGTCTTTTTAAAACAGGTCATATAATTTTTAAAATGGCAACTTTAAAAGCATTGCCTTATCCAGAATAAGTGCTTAAATGACAGTAATGGAGAAATTTTCAACTGAACACAGAACTAGTGCAGACACAACCACCACAAAATCCCAGGTTGGAGTCCCTGCACCGCCATTCACTGCTCAGGTGACTTTTCACATCTGGGTGCTTTCTTCATCTATAAAATAATTCTCCGATGAGAAATCGGAGCCAGTGATAGAGATGGGAGGCTGATCTAGGTGATATTTACATCCTCATATGGGCGCGTGTGGGTGATCTGATTGGCTCAGCAGCTGTCATTTTTGCCATCCCTTTCCCCCATGTAACCTTTCCAGGGCTCCAGTATCCAGCTCAAAAAGACACCCTGAAGCTTCTCCACACAGAAATTCTACCATTCTTAGATCCATCATCATAAATTGGTGAAGCATATTGATCACTATTTGAAACAACATGCCCTCACACACAAAAGCTATCCATGGCAGGTTGACACTCTGTGCTCACCAAATGTGTATAACCCTTTAGATAAAAAACTGAAAGTAAAGTCTGAGGCTCGTGGTGTGGCTATGGATTCAGTGCATCAGGAAATGCTGTAACGCGCCTCTGAAGGTCTCGGCATGTCAGCCTCGCCTTGACTTGCACTGTCCTGCTTTTTAACAAATGCTGCAGTGTAAAGCTGTAGGTGGTTCCAACAATAAAATCATTTCATGAAAATAAAAGAAGACAGCTTTTGTTTTGGGAATAATAAATACTGGGAATTTGAAATGTCGATTTCCCTCAGAACGGCATCACGTAGGAGATGTCAGCTATGAAATCCCAGGCTGCCCCTGATTGGCCAACACAGGCACTCTTTGCCTTGGGAGGAGAGGCTGATGTGAAATTTGATTTTAGAGTAGTAGAAAAAAATATAGAAAAGCAAAAGCTCTTATTAAAGCATTAAGAAGAATTTAAAAGGAAATAACACCACCACTCTCATGGAAAAGTTTCTTATTCAAGATTCACTCCATAAACATGTATTAAGCTTCTACTATGTGTCTGGAATGGTAATGTTATCATTCAGTCGACAATATTTGTTGGCTCTTATGCACGTACATAATATGGGAAACTGAAAGAAAGTTTAAGAAAAGGCAAAATCTCTATCTTCTAGAGAGGGAGAATTTCAAGAAAGGACCTTGGGTCACTTACTGAAGCTCTCTCTGCCTCAGCCTTCTCATCTGTAAAGTGGGGCCGACAAAAGCAATTACTTAATGGGGTTGTCGAGAAGTTTTTAGGTATAACCTGACATGTGCATGCCATAGAATTGTTAGCTATTCAATAACTGACATGTGCTACAAGTATTTTAATGTAAATACTAATGTTTACTGCAAATACATACTCTGATTTAGCTGTGATGGTTAAGGCAAAATATAAGATCCTTTCATTCTGCCTTATTGTCATTTTATATCATACTTTTGCTATTTAAGAAAAATAAACGTTTTAATAAATAAGTAAAGAGTTGTTTATTTTAAAATCCTACAGACTATTAGTTCAATAGCATTCTAATGCTTTTATGTTGAAATTGAAGGATTTTGGATTATTTCCCCATGACTTCTTCAGCATACCTTGCATTTTAGCAATTCTTAAATAGAACTACTTTTCTTTTACTTCCTAACAAGCCTCACACAAACAACGGCCTATTTGTTTTGAAACCACGGTGTCCTGACCTTCTGGTTTCTGGGATACAAACACTTTAGACAGAAGATAATGATAATAATAATAAGAAGAAGAAGGACAATGACAAACATTAATGTCAAGCACTGTGCTAAGAACTTTACCTATATTAATTCATTTAATTCTTATAACAATCTTACTATAATGTTATTTTTATTCCTATTTCCATTTTACAGTTGAGGAAATTGAGGCATAGCAAGGTTATATGACTAACTCAAGGTTACGTAACTTGGTCCAGGTTGAATATGGGGTATGGACCTAGACACTGGCTTCAGGCTCCACACTATCTACAGGCTCTATAGAGAAATGCACACCTAGAGGTCCAGAATTACTTAGCTATGTTCCAATTCATGGAGCACCTCACTTGGCCTGAAACTGCAGTTATGGCACTCTTCATCTTTATAAAAACACAGTACCCAGGTCCACAGAGAGGTATTTAACTATGGAAGGTCTCACAACTGTGCAGTAGGGACCCAAAGCCAGGCTCCTCTGAGTGCAAACCCAAGCCCTGCTGTGCGCTGCTGGCAAAATGAAAGACATGCAGAAACCTGAAACCACCTCTAAGAGCACACAGGATCTGTGTATTTTTGCTTATTTACTGTATCTGTTTATAGCTTCTTTTCAAAGAACATTTTGACTCTGCTCTACTGCAGAGCAGTGTGTGCTGTGGATTTTCTGTTGCTCATAAAGTCCAATTCTGGACAGCCAATATTTTCAGCAGCATCATTGTATTTTCAGGAACTACACACACTCAAATATTCTGTAAATACTCTCATTACTTCTCCCATACATGAGCCTTGGAGAGTCAATGCAACTTTGCAAATAGAATTTAGTTGTTGAAGTTTCAACCACAGGTGACGATTTAGCCAATAAAAATTCAGTTAGTTTGGAATTAATTTTGGAATAACTGTATTTTCAGGAACTACACACACTGAAATATTCTGTAAATACTCTCATTACTTCCCCCATACATGAGCCTTGGACAGTCAATACAACTTTGCAAATAGAATCTAGTTGTTGAAGTTTCAACCACAGGTGACAGTTTATCCAATAAAAATTCAGTTTGTTTGGAATTGATTTTGTAATCAAGGGTAACTTTTGAGGCAATTTTTTCATGCACATGTTTTCAGACTACTAATCACTTGGGAAACTGATGAGTCGTTTGTCCATTAACAAATTTCCCCCTTTTCCTTTTGAGGAAGGAAACACAGGACTTGAAGATGCCCAATAAACCGTGGCACCCGAAAGTGAGGATCTGAAATGCAGGTGAAGCAGCTTGCCTGCCGCCCCTGTGCTTGGTCCAGGACTGCCTGGATCCTGTCCCCTACTGGCCCCCAGCCCGTTCTGACACAGACCAGGCTACTTGCAGCTGGGACAGCGGCAGCTGGTGGTGTGGCTGCCAGCTGGATGCTGGCGCCGCCGGGGACAGGGCTGCAGGGACCCACAGGACCTGGCACACCAGCACTCCTGGCTACCCTGATGGGGCTGTCTGCTTTTTGTTTCCTTCCCTTAAAAATGCTTTTTTTTTTTTTTTAAGAATCTCATTGAGTATATATTTATCAGTTGTCTACTGTGTGTCCAGCAGGAGATGGAAAGATATAAAATGTGTGAGAGAGGGCAAATAAAGAATTGGAAGAATTTGTAATCATAGTGGGTTAAATAGCTTCCCCCAAAAATGTCCTTTCTGGAGCCTCAGAATGTGACCTTATTTGGAAACAGGGTTGTGGTAGATGTAATCATTTAAGTTACCATGAGGTCATACTGAAATAAGGTGGGCCCTTCATCCAATATGACTGTTGGCTTTATTAGAAGAGGAGAAGAAATGCAAAGACACACACAGGGCAAAAGTCACATGTCGCTAGAGGGAGGGACTGGATGGAGTGAGACTTCTGCAAGTCAAGGATGCCAAGGAGCCAAGGACCGCAGGCAACACCAGGTGCTGGGAGGCCTGACAGGGACCCTCCCCAGAGTACTGACAGAGACCCTCCCCGCAGCCCTCTGAGTCAGCACAGCCCTGCTGACGCTGTGACTTTGGATTTGCAGACTTCAGAACTGTGAGGAAATAAATTTCTATTGTTTGAAACCAGTCAGTTCATGGTATTTTTTTTTTGTAGTCCTAGGAAACTAATACAGTCATGATATTGAAAAATAAATGAATAAATCAAAGGGAAATTCCTTTGTGGTCATGGGGAAGGTTTCCTTTGTTGGAGGTGGCCAGAGGGATGCGGGGGAGTGAATAAGCAGGACCAGGAGAGAAGGCAGGTCCGAAGTTGGGGTCACACAGGTGCAAGTCATGGATGAAGCCCTGGAAGATGATGAAATGACCAATACAGAAAGTGGATGGGATTGGACTTTTAGATTGACATACATTTCTGAGAGGGGAAGATGCAAACTGAAGGAAAGAGATAGCACCGAAATATTCAGAGAGAAGATCAACCAGGCAGTGTAGTTGGATACAAACCAAAGGAGAGCAACTGCTATGAACTGCCTTGTGTCCCCTAAAGTTGTAGATGATGAAGCCCTAACCCCAAAGAAAGAGAGAAAGAGAGAGAAAGAAAAAGAAAAAAGAAAGAAAGAAAGAAAAGGAAGGAAGAAAATAAAGGTAGAAGAGAGAAAGAGAGAGAGAAAGAGAGAAAGAAAGAAAGAGAAAGAGAAAGAGAGAGAAAGAAAGAGGAAGGGAAGGGAAGGGAGCGGAGGGGGAGGGGAGGGGAGGGGAAGGGAGCGGAGGGGAAGGGAGCGGAGGGGAAGGGAGGGGAGGGGAGGGGAGGGGAAGGGAGCGGAGGGGGGGGGGAGGGGAGGGAAGGAGAGGGGAGGGGAGGGGAGGGAAGGGAAGGGAAGGGAAGGGAAGGGAAGGGAAGGGAAGGGAAGGGAAGGGAAGGGAAGGGAAGGGAAGGGAGACCTGAGCACCTGTGTCACAAGAAATACAGTAATTACTAAGAGAAGTAATTTGGAGTATGAAAGTAATTAAGGTTAAATCGGGTCATAAGGGTGGCCCCTAATCGGATAGAATTAGTGTCCTTGCAAGAAGAAACATGAGAAAGTCAGTCATGTAAGGACAGCAGGAAGGCGTCCATCTGCACGCCAGGATGAGGCCCCCATCAGAACCTGACCATGCTGGCAGCCTGATCTCAATCTTCTAGGCTCCAGGACTATAAGGAAATAAATTGCTGTTGTTTAAGCCACCCAGTGTGTGATATTTTGTTTTGGCGTCCAGAGCTGCCAAATACAGGAACCAACAGAGGAAGTAGGTCAACTGTGTACATCTAACAGGGAGGTCAGAGAGAAACTGGACCAGGAGACAGCCTTGGGATTTAACATTTGGAAGTCATGGGTGATCTTGAAGTAGTGAATTTCAGTAGATTGTAACAGGCAAAGCCCAAAATACTCACTACTATAAACTATTATCTCAAACAGTTTGCCAGAAGAAAGAGAAAGAATGAAAGGAGTGTGTGACAGAGAGAGAGAAAGAAAAAAGAAAGAAGGAAGGAAGAAAGTAAAGACAGAGAAAGAAAGAAGTATGGAAGTTAGCAAAGGGAAAGGTTTCTTTAAAACTGGGGGACCTGAGCACCTGTGTCACAAGAAATACGGTAATTACTAAAGAGAAGCTGTCTGAAGCAACAGAGGGCACAGCTGATGAAAAGAGGTCCTAGAACGCCGGAGCAGGTAAGGGGACCAGGAGGGCAGCACGGTGGGAGGCTAAGCTGGAAGGAAAGAGGACAGCTCTTCCTGTGGGAGAGAACGTGGGGCTGAGCCATGAAGGAGGTAGAAAGGGTCATCTGAAGAAAGCTGTTCTCAGCCCCTGCAGAGTGAAAAGTTACGATCCTTTGAACACTGGAGAGTAGGTGCAGCAGAGTTGAGAATGGGGTGCTCCAGGATGCTGAGAAAAAGCTTGGGAAAGACCTCTTCAGCTATACAGACGCGGGCGCAAAAACACCTGAGCATCCAGACAATCAGTGAAGAGCTGGTTAAGACCGGGCCACGCACGGTGGCTCACACCTATAATCCCAGCACTTTGGGAGGCCGAGGCGGGCAGATCACGAGGTCAGGAGATCGAGACCATCCTGGCTAACATGGTGTAACCCTGTCTCTACTAAAAAAAAAAAAATAGCCAGGTGTGGTGGCAGGTGCCTGTAGTCCCAGCTACTCCGGAGGCTGAGGCAGGAGAATCACTTGAACTCGGTGGAGAAGAGGTTGCAATGAGCCGAGATCGCGTCACTGCACTCCAGCCTGGGTGACAGAGTGAGACTCCATCAAAAAAAAAGAAAAAAGAAAAAAGAAACCGGACTGGCATAAATGCTCAATGTGCCCAGTCTGCAGGAACGCTCCACAGGCTGACGGTGGAGAAGGGAAGCGGGGTGGCTCCTAGACTGAGGATTCCACAGGTGACGCGGTTGCTGAGGAGAGAGGAAGTCTGGGCTGCTGGATGGTTTACTCCATCCTGCCCCATCTGCTCAGAAGGACAGCCACAAAGGGCTGACAGCCATGGTAGCTCCGCCTGAGGGATTTCTGGAGGCCAAGCAACCCATCTGCTTAAGGAGACCTTCCTCCACCTGCTCCAGCCCAGAGCAAAGGACACAGCACCATAAGCCTGGTCCAACCCACCTTTATCTCTGCTCGACAATACCTTGAGTTCACACTGACTTCTTGAGTAGCTAGCAAGTTATTCTGAGTCAAAAATTATATTTCTCAATCTCAAATCCTGTTTTCTTATACTGTGGCACATTGTCTAAGCAAATCTTGATTTGTGACATCTATTTTAGCTTGTCGATAATAATAATAATCTAACAGCATTATGGTTATCACTACACAATATTCTTTCCTAAATGATCCTGTTATTCTCTTGAATTTTCCTGAAATGAAAACTCTTAGATGAACAACAGACCAGAGAATATGCTTGTGTCCAAATTACATCTGATTGACTTAGCTGGCCATCTGTTTCCCATGTCTAGAAAGAACCAAACATCACGGGGAGAGAGAGAAAGCAGAAGATCCTTAATGGCAGAATATAAAATGAACTCCATTTACACTTAGGTGGAGCAAGGGAAGAGTATGAGTCAATGTGTTTTCAGACCTTAAAATAATTTGGGATGAGACCTTTCTTAAGGCTTGAAATACTTGGGTACAAGGCAATAAAGTACATAAAGCATAGATTTTCTTCATTTGCTTTCTCCAGCATTTCATGATGAGCATATGCAAAGTGATCGTTGAATGTATGAAAATGAAGATGAGCCAACATCATTTAAAAAGTTGCATGGCACAGAGAAGAGTTAACACAGTAGGTCTGAGACTGTCAGTCTTATGAAGGGCTGCTTGCAGGACTGTCCCTTGGCTGGTATCTGGGAACTAGGATATTGGCAGCGTTCCCACCACCCTTAGAGTGGCTCACTGCCTGAACTGCATAAGCAATACAGTTCATGATGAGCACCTGCCTTCCTTGGGGAGTCTGGAACTTTGGCACATACCAAACATACCAGGGTGCCTACGTGACCTGCCCCCAAAGGAAACCTTGGCCACTGAGTCTCCAGGAGCTCTCCTGCTCCCCTGGTAGACAACATTGCACCTCTTATCATGACTCATTGCTGGAGAAATTAAGTGCTTCCTAGTGATTCCACAGGGAGAAGACCCCTGAGAGCTGGGGCCTGCTTTCCTCTGAATGTCACCTCATGTGCCTTTTGCCTTTGCTGCTTTTGCTCCATAGCCTTCTCCTGTATTAAGTCACAGCCATGGATGCAGCTACATGCTGAGTCTTCCTGGCAGATCACCAAACCTGAGGGTGGGCTTGGGGACCTTTGACATGGGCATGTAACATCCTGCAAGATTAAATCTAAGAAAGTGAAAAAATAACTTTGACAGCAGTTGGCTTAAGAAGTGGAATATTCAATTTGGAATTTTAATATCCTGGCATTGTATTGTGGGAGAGGACTAGAGAAATCACTGCATATCCATGGGAGGAAACTGAGGCAAACAAAAACAAAAACAAAAACAAAAACAGAGAGAGATAGAAACGCCTTTCCCTAGGCCACCCAGCTAACCTGAGTCAGCGCTGCAATCAAGTCATATTCCAGAAACTTAAAATAGGAAATCAAGGGGGATTTTAGTGTGACTGAGTGGCCCAACAAATGAGGTTTTACACACACATACACAACACACAGATACAGAGCACACACATCACACACACCCCCTGCATATATCACACACACACACATACAGAGCACACACACCACATAGCACGTACTCCACACACACACACACACACACAGAGCTCACACACCACACACAGCACACACTCCACACACACACCCCACACACATACAGAGCTCACACACCATACACGGCACACACACACACCACATATACACAGAGTACACACCCCACATGCCACACACACACCACACACACTACACACACATACAAACACACATCATGCACCACACACACGTATGCACACACCACACCAAACACCACACACATATGTGGACACGCACATCACACACATGTACACACACCCCTCCTGATATCCTCTGGGCTAAATTTGCCCCAATGCTTTCTTTTCTTGTTTTCTTTTTTAAAGAAAAAATATTAACATACCTATCTCTATGTGTCTATCTACTTGTTTTGGTAGTTCAAAAGTCAAAAGCGTACTTCTCTGTGTTGGGTTGTACTCCACAATACACAGTTTGCAGCTTTCAGAATGGGTGCAGGTCTCCTCCTGGCAGGCTGAGGCCCTGCAGACTAGCTGCTATTGTGGCTGCTTTGGAGCCTTGCTGGCAGCTGTTTGGAGACTCAGGCTGTGCCCCTCGCCTTACACGACCCCCATTCTTGGTGTCACACAGGGGCTCTCCAGAGCTGTAAACAACCAGCTTTTAATTACTTTCAGGTGGCAGCGGGGTAACATGCAAAACCTAATTTAGTGAGCGATAGACTTAAATGGAAAAAGTATAACATAATTAATGATTTTTAAAAAGAAAGAGACCAGGGCCCTCTCTTCCTATTTCTCAGTTAATTCACTCCCAAAAATATAGCATGGTAAAAACATGACATCTCTGTGCCTTTCTAATTCCAGTCTGATGTGCACGTTCTGAGCTGAGAATACTTTCCAGTGTTTAAAATGAGGTTCTTATTTACTAAAAGCAATATAAATAGAAGATTAGATGATACATACAAAGACAGATAGCTAGGTAGATGATAACAGACAGAAAAATGTTCCTTTTATACTTTTCATTTGGTCCCACGAATTTCTTTTCAGTGAATGTTAAAGAAATGCTTCTTTAATTCTGCAACTCTCTGGCACTTTTAAAATCAAAGATGAGGCTTTCAGGTGACTCTAGGTTTTTTTTAAATTTCACATTATTTTAATGTTTATCTCATTCCTTTTACTCATAAGCTCTTTGAGGGCAGACTCAGGTCTCCGCAAGATAGCAGCCACAGCATAGCAGATGTCTGGAAAATGCTCAGTGAGGAGCAATAAAATCACAATAGAAGTGCCACAGAAAGGGAAGGTTAACTTCTATAGTCAAGAGTGCACAAAGCAGAGGCCCCCCACAGCATGACCCTCAGGTCCCCCCGACAGCTGTGCTAGCTCTCCCTCCCTCCCCACATGAGAATACGGCATCCAATCTGCTCTTAGTTCTGGTTTGCTGAAACGTGCTTAAGGGCAGCCTTGTCTAATTTGGTTGGCTGTACCTATAATCTCTTTTCCCCTCTCTAAAATGCAAAGGTTTTCTTAAATCACAACCTCCTTTCTGAAACCTTCTCTACTTCCCCAGGCAAAACCGTGTGTGTAGCTACAGCCTCAGGCCCTAAGCGCCTACTGCAGCACTTAACACCCCAAGAGGGACAGTGCAGGAATCTCCCCAAGCATCTCAACAGCAGAAACCATCTCTGCAGGGGCCTGGGGAGGGAGTGCTTCTTAAAGCCCAAGTCTTGCGTGATCTATGATGCCCAGACCCAGTTGTGGCAGTGAAGAATTACAGCCAATGTTTCATGTAAAGTGGTTGGTTTATGTCCTTTGATATTTCATGTGGGCAGAAAATTGTTCACGTTTAGCCAAAATACAGAAAGAAGATAATCATCCTTCGACCTGAACTCAATGATCCTAAGAGGTAAAATTCTCCTTGAATCATCACTAATAGAGGTATTCAGATAGGAAATATTACAGCAGAAAATTGGGCCACTGCTAAAGAGGGAGGCAGTTTCTCTGGGAATAGTAAAATGTTTGCTTTTTCCATTTTCCAAATCCGGTTACCCCTGGGCTGTGTCTTTGATGTTAATGTAGCTAAACCCCTGGTGAGATTCTCACAATTTTATCAGAAGAAACAGAAACGGAAGGCTGGGCTCTCTTACTGCTGGCCTCCCTAATCGGGAGGAAATTCACAACAGGCTTGTGAAGGGAAACCCAAATATAAAGCCGGTGTTATTGTTTTTTTCCAGGATGGTGTTTTATGTATCTCCACATCAGCAGTACCTCCAAAAGCATGTCATTATTCAAGCTACTATATTTTTACTGGGCTACATTAATATTATGGCATTTAAAAGGATTTCATTGCAGCTTAGGATAAGTGATGAGGATGTCTAAAAAAATCCACATAGACATCATGACTCTTGTTCTTCCTGGCTCATTTTAGGGAGGTAAGAACACAATAGGTCAGGATCTGTCATATTAACTGAGGTCATCTGATGGCACCTTGTGTGCCTGTCTCTGAAATGCTTTTCCTCTGCACATTTACGACCCCACCCCCATCCATCATACCAGAGGGAAGGGTCACCCTGTAAGGCCCCAGGGCCCAGGGAAGAGCTCAGGCAGGCAGAAAAGCAACATCAGATATTATGAATCTTTCCTCCATTTGGTAGAATTATGGGATTTCTACTTTTCAGCTGTTGGGGTATTCTTTCCAAAGGTCACTCCAAATCAATGAACTCATTAATGTCCTTGATAATGGTAGCCTCATGGCCTCATATGATGAAGAGGCATAACTTGATTCCTGCGTCTACCTTCAGGCCAACCGAAGCCTGTCCTGGAAAGAAATCAATGCAGGCCCTAATGTGCAGTAAGCTCCCAAAAGGAACCATGACAATATGCACAACACTCATTAAACCCTGACAAACACTGCATTTGTGCTTCTCAGGAAAATAAACTACTCATTTGTTTTCTTAACCAAAATAAAGGGCAAAACCTAGTGAGACATACTAATAGAAACCATTTTGCTTCTTTTTAGGGAAATACACAAACATCTTTAATTTTGCTTTTCATTAAAAAAGAATTTGTAGAAGACAAATACCCATTTACCTTCACCAGGATTTCCAAAGGTCCCCTGGCCTAGAGATTCACAGAAACCCAAAGCTCATCTGTTAGAAGCAGGTCTTTGCTGCTCCGACCTTCCCAGGGGATCTCCCAACAGTCAAGGCTGAGCAGCTAAGCATCCCCCAGGCTGACAGGTCACACTTCGCCCTGAGCCCAGTGGGGCACGTTGGGCCATGGCCTGTGAATCATGCTTTTGGGCCCTCTCTTGACTGCCATCAGCTCTCAGCTATCCTAGGTCAACTCTCTGGCACTCCCATACCTGCTCCTAACTCACTCACTTAGTAAGATACTTACACAGGCTTATTTCCATGGCTGATTTAGTTAATCGCTTTTCTCCATGGAAAGAATCAACCACTGAAGGAAGTGATCTCTGCAGAGTACGAATGCTTCCTGGAACAAACTTCCCAGCCAGATCCCAGCAGGCTGGGATGACTTGATAATCCGGGAAGAGGGACCTGGGAGATGGCCATGCCAAGGAATAAATCCAAACTAGCTCGCAGGAGTTACAGTTTATATACAAAGCAGAGACAAATTAACCTTTTACAGGTCATCTGCTGTGCATATGGCATTCAGGACAGCTTCCCTGAAGGTCAGGGCTAATTTAGAAAAAGTCCCTCTGTTCCTGGGACTTCTGTGCTATGCAAGGTCGTTCCCTGAAGCCAAGAATCCCAGTGCTTCCCTGGAGTGGCTCAGCCCCAGCCAGTGTGGAGGGAGGGAGGGTCTTCCTTTTAGCGGCCTCCACCCCGGCACAGCCTGGGTGATGGGGGAGGGAGGCTGTCCTCTGTCCTTATCTGTGCCTTGTGCTGGTAACCAGAGAGAAATATAACCCTTCTCCACCTAAACCTCCTGAGCATGGTTTATTTATTAAGATCTCCAATGTTTTAAACCATGCGTCACCTCCAGTGACTTCATGACCTCCTTTTCTGGGCATTGCTGATGGGTGGAGCTCAGACACTGGGAACAGGGTCTGACTGTAGCAGTGAGCAACAGAAGTCAGGTAAAATGCTCAATTTCCAGACTTTCTATTAGCAGATCATGCCACTGCTTTGGGGCCTTGTTGTCATTTACAAGGTCATTTTTAGTGACAAGTCTATTCGACTCAGGTTGAACGACCTGATATGAAGTCTCTCTCTCCCTTTCTTTCAGTGATTTACTTACAAACCAACCAAAGCTTCTTACTGATGTATTCCTTAATAAGATAAACACCTGTGTTGTATTTATTTTCTAGATGCTGTTGTGAAGTACAAACCAAGCACTTCTCCAAAACTTTTGCATTTAAAATTGTATGAAAGGATGAAGCTCCAGTATCTGACTGAGGAGAGGACATGGGCTTTAACAGTTCCTATCAGAGGGGCATAAATTCTATATTGCATGCCAGCATCATCCCCTCACTAGATACACATTTCCTTTTTTTTATTTAGTTAGGTTCACATTTGAAGGAAAATAAAGTCTGTTCACAGAGATTGCAAAAAGGTGAAACAAGAACAATGAGGATGCTGCTAATTAAAGATGTCTAAAAACAAAAGAACACACGTATTATGCATAACCAAAGAGATTCAAAAATCCTCCTGGTAGAACATGTTCTCACTTGTAAGTGGGAGCTGAATGATGAGAACACAGGGACACATAGAGAAGAACAACACACACTGGGGCCTACTTCGGGGTGGAGGGTGGGAGAAGGAAGAGGATCAGGAAAAATAATTAATGGGTATTAGGCTTAACACCTGGGTGATGAAATAATCTGTACAACAAACCCCCATGACACAAGTTTACCTGTGTAAAAAACCTGCACATGTACCCCTGAACTTAAAATAAAAGTTAAAAAAATCCTCCTGGTAGATATTTCAATTTCTCACCCAGATTTCCAGTTCTCCTCTTCCTTCAGGCACATGCCCCATTGAGGTCAGGCATGGCCATGAGACTTGCTTTGGCCAATTAAATATGAACAGAGATAACATGTGTCACCTCCAAGTGGAAGCACTAAGAAGGCGTTTGTAATTCTCCCATGCTCTCTTCCTCTGCCAGAGCAGACCATGAAGCTGAAAATTTGGATGACAGGGTTAAAAGATGGTGAAGTCTCTATCCTAGGTCACCGAGTCCGGAAGATTGAAAAGGTAGCTCCCAATTCTTCCACTCCCTGAACCTATACTCCCTTGCCATATAAATTGGAGGGCCTCTCCCCTTTGATTCCGAGCTTAGCCAGATGACTGTCATCAAATCCTTCCATTTGCCATTAAGACAACTAACATGACCCCTAAGGAGAGAAGATGAAGATGTTTCAACACTGAAAATTAGCAAATAAAAATGTATAAGGGAGTCTCTATTCTGATTATTACAATCGCATTTGAGTTATTAAGCTTAGTATTTTTCAACACCCTAAGTTAAATTATGATAATTAATCAACATAACAGCAAGGAATGTACTGTTCATTGAAGTGTGAGGGGTTTTGAATTCACTGTAAAGACAATGTTTTCATAAAAACTAAGAATTCCATTCTATCCTAGATTCCTGTAATGTGCTATGATGGCAATGTATTTCAACTTTGATTTGGATCTTTTAAATGCCTCTGGTGGTGGTGTACAGTAACCAACCTCTCTAGCTAATCAATAAGCTGAGAAACAAAAACGGTGTGTCACCGTGAGGGTTTAGTTCCAAATTCTGCTCTCTATAAATGGATAAAATGTTGCTTAGTCAAGAAGTCTGTTAACATGTGTGTTGTGCGTGTGTGCACCCGCATGTGAGGGCATACAGACATGTCTAAAAAAGGCAACTATTTATAATCCACATCGGAACACAGACTATGCTCCTCACAATTCTTTTCCGAAAGCAGCCAACACATTTTGAGATATGCCAACAGTCATTATCCAAGGATGTAAGAACAGGAGCACCATGCATCACGCGGACAGTCGCCTTTCCAGGTAAATAGCACAGAGCAAGAAATCAACACCATTAGAAATGAAGAACTGCAGTTTCTTGGAGGCTAAATTTAAATTTTGTCTTTTCTACACACCAAATATAAGCCAAGAAATTATTCATATGCAAATATACATTTCATTGCTACATATATATTCTTAGTAGAATCTTCAAGAAATAGGTCAGAGATACAACATAACTCTCAAGACATTGGAAAGCACCAAAAGGTCATGAAAACAGGGCTTCCATTTTCCAGATTTTAGTTTCAGAATGTCAGCTATATATGCAATGCTGAGGTCTCTCACAGATGCAAAATACTACTACCTTGTTTTTAGAAGCAGACGTAAAACCACAATTTTCTCAAAAAAGTTAACACAATGGCTACAGTTACAGTGCCGGTAACTAATCTCTCTTCATCAGTCAACCCACCAAAGGATGTCTGAATCAAGCCATTATAAGCCAATACAAAACACTTATTTCAGGTTTACTTACAAAATAGCATCAGCCTTAAGAATACTAATTCTGAATTATGATGAACACATAAACGGAGACCCGATTCCATCTCTGAAATAACCTTTTCAGAAGGTGAGCGTGGTGTCCTGCACCCTGGAGACGCAAAGCCTACCTGAGACAAGTGAAACAGTGTCTTTCTCCCATGAGACGACAGTGATGTACGCCTCCACCGAGGAGGGGATAATGCACTTGAAGACCGCAACATTGCCTCTCATGGTTTTCTGGTCCTCCACACGGACTGTATAGGGCTCCCGTAAAACTGGAAGGCAGAAAGAGGACGTCAGTAAGGCACACGGTCAACAGGCTCATTCTGAGAGTATCTCACTGTAATATATACACTGCAGCACACACACATCAATTGCATAACATATCTTTCTGGAAAACAGTTAAGATGCCTACATTTCACGTCTTTCATCGCCTGACTTAAGAAAACATTCATTCCCTTAACAATACATAGCTGGGTAAGGTGGCTCATGCCTGTAATCCCACCACTTTGGGAGGCCAAGATGGGTAGATCCCTTGTGCCCAGGAGTTCAAGACCAGACTGGGCAACATGGCAACACCCCATCTCTACTAAAAATACAAAAAAATTGCTGGGCATGGTGGTGTGTGATTGTAGTCCCAGCTACTTGGGAGGCTGAGATGAGATTACCTGAGCCTGGGAGGTTGAGGCTGCAGTGAGCTATAATCATATCACTGCACCCAGCCTGGGTGAAGAAAAAAAAATACACTACACTCTATACCAAGGGGCCAGAGTATAATCGAAAATAGTTAATAGACCCCCTGAAGGTATCATGAGATAGGAAATAGCTTCATGAAAGAAAAGTTACTGGCTCTGCAAAGTTATGATGATGGCAAACTGCTATTAGTCCTCTAAGGGCCGAGGAAGATTTTTTTTTCTGACTGCAAAAAATGAATAAAAAATTCAGGCAAGGCAATTTTTCTGGGAAGCCTTGAGAACTCTGAGACAATTAAAATAATTTTTCATTAGTAAATTTTTAAATGACAGTTGCAAAGCAGTTTGGGAAACACTGATCCTGCTTCCCATTGTTTAGGGAAGGATGTTGATTAGACAGCCTGCCCAAACACTCCAATGATAGGAGCATCCCAGAAAGACTGCAGAGTGGACTTCCACGTCCTTGATGTCTAGGCTCAGAGGCAGGGTGGTACTGGTGTTCAGAACCTACCTAGCAGGCCCAACTCCCTGGGTTCAAATCCAAGCTCGGCCACTCCCTGACTGTGGGGCAGTGAGCAAATCCTCTCACCATCTATACCATGGGGATGATGTTGGTAGCATCTGCCCCCTAGGGTGACTGTGGTGAATCAGTTAACGTAGGTGAAAATTCAACAGTGTCTGCTAGAAGCAGGTTGGGTAAGGCCACACTTACCAATAGCCAGAGATGGATCCCCAGGGTTGGGGAAGATCTGTCTCCAGGGAAGTAAGACACTGATGAATATAGTCCCAATTAGATGTGCCAGCCTTACTTCTTTAGAGCTTTGTTTTCCTCAAATTTAAAATGAGGGCATTGTGGTGGGAACCTCTTCAAGGTCTAAATCTTATAAGTCTATGATTTTCTAAGATACCCACAGAGATAACTTATTGTCTAATCATCTAACCACCTCACTTAAAGAATTAATCACTTACTGGACAAATATGTGCCATGAAAATGGTTTCAAAAGGTACTAACACACCAACAAAGCTAAAGGTGAATTTCTCAAGGGAAATCTCCCAGTAGGCAGAGGTGAGCTCTTTAGAAGAGGACTGTTAAGGTCGGGCTAACCTTGTGATATGCTGAGCATTTTTGTAGTAAAGCATGTCTTTCATGAAAGCCTTCCTCTCCAGTTTCCATTTTTAACATTAGCCGTTTTTCCCCAACTTGGAGAATTTCTTCATTATTGTATCTAACCAGAGAGATTTTTCCAAGTATTGAAATCTTCTGCGACCCCCATCACTGTAATCCCCAAGCGGCATGAGGTGAAGGTCCAGGCAGCAACTCCACACCTCCTGCAGGAGGTCCACTAGGCAAAAATTCAGGGCGCCCAAGAGACTGACCTCAGCAACAACATCCTTACACCGAGAGGAGGGAACTGACTTTGTACAGAAAGGCTCCTGCATAAGTAAACCTTTGCTGGGAGCTGAGGTCTACGGTAATAGATTAGAAAAAGACTATGAAGATATAGGCAAACTAATCAAACTCATTGGTGAGAATCTGGGCATGGTGAGAAGCAGAAGACAGAGAGGAGAAGAGGAGGATGGAGGACAGAGGAGAAAGAGGGACTGGTCAACAGAGAGAGTCTACCGTCACAGGAATAGTGCCCCTAAGCAGGGGAATGATTTCAATTTAAGCTCCTTTGTCTGTGTGATGCTTGTTTCTTTGCAATAAAATCACTCTGTCTCCCCAAACCTTCCGCAGACTCTGCTTCAAACATTAATGACTCAAGTAGGATAATTTTTAATAGAAATCAAGGAAAGGGGTCAAGTTCCATGTATCAGACAGGAAAGTGAGAAGAAAAGATGTTCACCTGTTTACCGGGAGACACGGGAAATGCCTTCCCACCAGGTGTACAGCCTACACTAGATGGGATCACAGGAGCCATAAAAATATGGGGTGACTGACCGGGGACATTCCCAGTGTTACCACCCAATGTCCAGTGTCCTAGGAAACCCCTCAGTCCCAGCACTTACCCACATATCATGGAGTTTTCTCCTCTCTAGCTACCCACTGCCCTCACCAGTACCAGGACACCTTAGTAGTCACAATTTTAAACCTGTGTGACTTTTGCTTCTCCAACCTCCAGGTCAGTCCCAAGAAGCCCAGATCTTCTCAAAGCAGGGACAGCACTGTGGTGATCTGAACCCCAGCTCGCTCAAAGGGAATGGGGATCAGAAGAAAACTGCACACTCCCCATCCCTTCTCCTTATTCGATTACTCATTCCACAAAGATAGCCTGTGCAGTGAGCCTTTAAAAAATTATCTTAGAAAATACTTGGCACACAAGAGGTGTTCAATACATATTTTGAGACTGAATATATAGAAAGACAGAGCTTCCATTCTGGGAGAACTTCTAATCCTTTTACAGAATATACATGTATGCACATTTGAATTTATAGCCACTATCTATAGTTTTTTAAAAAAATGCAAATCAGGGTTTTATTAAAGCTCCTAATCTTTGTAATAGAGCATTGTTTGTTCCTGAGGCCTCCATAACTTAAGACACCAACATTGCTGTCTATGGCGATATATCTCTCAGAGGGCCATGTGAGTTTCCTGAGCCCATAGTCAGCCCCGAAGACAGGGGTGCAGCCTTGATCTTCATTCTACATCCAACTACTGCTAACTTTGTTGCAGTAACAGACACTGGGCTAGAAACCTGAGATGCAGGCAAAAAAAAAAATACACTTTGTTTTAAATTTGATTGACATTTGCATTATAAGACAGAGTATTATCTAAGTACTGTGCTTGGTGTCATAAGTTAGGCTCTCCCCAGAGAGCCCAGATCTTCTCAAAGCAGGGACAGCACTGTGGTGCTCTGAACCCCAGCTCGCTCAGAGAGAACGGGGATCAGAAGAAAACTGCACACTCCCCATCCCTTCTCCTTATTCGACCCCAAAAGGAGGAGCTGGGTTCAAGCGACTGAGCAAGGACACAATCCCCTGAGAGGCAGGGAAAGTGTGAGTAGGGCAGGGAGGGAAGCAGCAAAGCAGGTGTGTGGTTTCAGGTGAAGTCCCAGCCACACCTGACATGCTCGGTCATGCAGAGGAGCTGGGATCCCCTGTTGTAGCTGTCTGTCATTGGCTTAGGGCTGGCCTCAGGAGGATGGAACTCCCAGGCATTTCCCACTCTTGTTTCTGTGAATGGTTCCAGTGCCCAAGCAATCCTCTGAAGGCTGCAGGTTCATGTTCTTAGCAACCAGCGCGCAGATCTTGGGGGATCTGATTCAGGGATGCCAGTAGGGTCCACTGCAATCATTTTAGCCTTCATTCAGTAAAATCTGTCATCTTTTTAGATCAGAAGAAAAAAAAATCTCTGGTAATATGACTTTGAAACAAAATCAGGCCTATTTATTTTTTTAATCAAATATTTTCATTGTGATATAAGAGTTGTACATATTCTGGGGTACATGTGATGTTTTCATACCTGTATAAAATGTATAATCATAAAATCAGGGTAATTGGAATATCAATCACTTCAATCTTTTCCCTGTGTTGGGAGCACAGTAAATCTTTTTTCTTCTAGCAATTTAAAAATATACAATAAATTATTAACTATAATTTCCCTACTGTGCCAGCAAATGTTAGAACATATTCCTTCTATTTAACTGTATTTTTATACCCCTCAGCCAACTACTCTTTAACCCCTCTCCTCATCCCCTTGCTTCCCAGCCTCTGGTATCCACCATTCCACTCTCCACCTCCATAAGATCCACTTTTCCAGATCCCATATGTGAGTGAAAACATGTAATGTGTGTCTGTCTGAGCCTGGCTTAATTCACTTAGCATAGCAACCTCCAGTTTCATCCATCATTATATTCTTGTTGGATGGAGAGTTTGCAAATATTAATAGTCTCCCCATTCTGCATGTTGTCTCTTCAACTTTGCTGATTTTTATTTTCTTTGCTGTGCAGAGTTTTTCTGCTTGATGTAATCCTATTTGTCTATTTTTGCTTTTGTTGCCTGTGCTTTTGAGGCCTTACCCCAAAAATCTTTGCCCAGACTAATTTTCTATAGTGTTTCCCTAGTGTTTTCTTTCAGTAATTTCATAGTTTCAAGACTTAGTTTAAGTATTTTGCCCACTTTGAGTTGATTTTCATACACAGTTAAAGACAGGGATCTAGTTTCATTCTTTTGCATATAGATACCCAGTTTTGCCAACACTAATTTTTAAAGAGCTTGCCCTTTCCTGAATGTGTGTTCATGGTACCTTTGTCAAAAATGATTTGGGTATAAGCGCATGGACTTATATTTGGATTCTCTATTCTATCCCATTGGTCTATGTGTCTGTTTTATGTCAGTACTATGCTATAGTATGCCAGTACTACACCTGTGTTGTATTCTTTGAAATTAGACTGTGTGATACCTACAGCTTTGTTCTTTTTGCTCAGGATTGCTTTAGCATTTCGGAGTCTTTTGTGGTTTCATACAAAGTTAAGGATTTTTTTTTCTATTTCTGTGAAGAATGTCATTGGTAGGGATGGCCTTGAATCTGTAGATCACTTTGAGTAGTATAGATATTTTAACACTATTAATTCTTCCAATCAACGAGCATGAAATAACTTTCCATTTTGTGTGTGTGTGTCCTCTTCAATTTCTTTCATACTTCTTTATATTTTTAGCATATCTACTATAGGTTTTTACTTTGTGGTTACCATGAAGCTTACGAAAAGCATCTTATAGTTATAAGAAGTTATTTAAAACTGAAATCAACTTTACTTTGATTACACACACATGGCTTATTTATTGAGCAAGAGATCACACGGTTGGTCTACATTGACAGCAGCGAATGTGAGAAAACATTTTAAATGGTCCATTTTCAAGGCATAATAAATCTAAGCACTGGCAGCCAGCCTGCAGATGTAACAAATTGCATGGCTCATGCACCTAGAAGGTCACGATAAGCAAACAGAATGTAGACGAGGGGTCAGCCCATAAAAGGGAAGAAAGTTTTGTTACTGGGAAATCAAAACTTAAGTGGGGAAGGGGATTGGGTTATAACTTTAAAAGGGGGATAATGAAACTTAGGCGATGTCCAGGAAGATTGTAACTCCATAGTACTCAATCAATGAGGAACTGGGGGAGGGACTTGCTTGCTAGGCAATAAATTACCTGCTCTACCTGCCCTGGGTGTGCCTGCCTAACAGGCGCCTGATCTTGCATCAAAAGTCTTGCTTAGGCTGGGTGCAGTGGCTCACATCTGTAATCCCAGCACTTTGTGAGGCCGAGGTGGGCAGATCACCTGAGGTCAGGAGTTCAAGACCAGCCTGGCCAACATGGTGAAACCCCATTTTTACTAAAAATACAAAAATTAGCCAGGCGTGGTGGCGCATGCCTGTAATCCCAGCTACTAGTGCGGCTGAGGCAGGAGAATCACTTGAACCCGGGAGGCAGAGGTTGCAGTGAGCTGAGATTGCGCCAATGCACTCCAGCCTGGGCGACAGAGCGAGAATCCGTCTTAAAAAAAAAAAAAAAAAAAAAAAAAGAGTCGCTTCTGCTGTTCTTCGTGTCTCTGAGTCCATTCTTTGCATCTGGATGGCTGTATGTGCGTTTCTCACATGAAATACTCATTTTATTGTACTTCGGAGAGATTATGTTTTTTACAAGTTGAAGATTTGTGGAAACCCTGCATCATGCAACTCTATCAGCACCATTTTTCCAGCAGCATGAACTCACTTTGTGTCTCTGTGTCACATTTTGGTAATGCTTACAATATTTCAAACTTTTAAAATCATTATATCTGTTACGGTGATCATTGATCAGTGATCTTTGATATTACTATTGTAATTGTTTTGCGGAGCCACAAACCACATTTACAGAAGATAGCAAACTTAATCAATACAGGTCATATGTGCTCTGCCCACCTCACTGACATGCCATTTTCCGTCTTTCTCCCTCTCCTGAAGCATCCCTTTTTTTGAGACACAACAATACTGAAATTAAATCAATAAATAACCCTACAGTGGTCTTTAAGTATTCATGTGAAAGAAATGGTCTCATATCTCTTACTTTAAATCAAAATCTAGAAATGATTAAACTTAGTGATGAAGGCATATCAAAAGCTAAGACAGGCTGAAAGCTAGGCCTTTTGTGCATTTAGCCGAGTTGTAAATGCATAGGAAAAGTTCTTGAAGGAAATGAAAAGTGCTACTTCAGCGAACAAATGATAAGAAAGTGAAACTACCTTACTGGTGGTGTGGAGAAAATTTGAGTAGATAGAAGATCTGGAGAGATGATTAAACTAGCCACAACATTGCCTTAAGCGAAAGCCTAAATCAAACTAAGTCCTTAGCTCTCTTCAATTCCAGGGAGGCTTAGAGGGGTGGGAAAGCTGCAGAAGAAACACTGGAAGCTAGCAGAGGTTGGCTACTGAGATTTAAAGAAAGAAGCAATCTTTATAACATACAAATGCATGGTGAAGCAGCAAGTGTTGATGGAGAAACTGCAGCAGGTTATCTAGAAGCTCCAGCTAATGTCAATGATGAAGGTGGCTGCCCTAAACAATATATTTTCAATGTACAGAAGATATCCTTCTATTAAAAGAAAATGCCATCCAGGATTTTCATAGCTAGAGAGGAGAAGTCAATGCCTAGCCTCAATGCTTCAAAAAACAAGCTGATTCTTGTTAAGGGTTAATGCAGCTGATGACTAAGATGAAGTCAATGCTCATTTACCATTTCAATAATTCTAAAATTATTTCTTAGAATTAATTATGACAAATCTACTTTGCCTATGCTCTAGAAATAAAACAAGAAGGTCTGGGTCACAGCACATCTTCTTATAGCATGTCATGTTGCACAGGATAGAACCTCCAGGACGATGTAGAATAGAAGTGGTGAGAGCATACACTTTGATATTGTTCTTCATTTGGGGGTGAAAACATTTCATCTTTGACAAGTATGATGTTCGCTATAGCAGGATTTTCGTAGTTGCTTTTTATCAGATTGAGGAAGTTCCTTTCTACTGATGGTTTTCTGAGAGTTCTTTTAATCATTAGTGGATGTTGGGTTTCATCAATGTTTTTCTGTGTCTGTTGAAATGATCACATGGTTTACACTGATTAATTTTCAAATGTGAAACTCACCTTGCATTATGAATATAAGCCTTTGTGGTCATAATGTATTATTCCTTTTATATGTTGTTGGATTCAATTTGTTAAATTTTTAGAATTTTTACATGTATAGTCAGAAGAGATACTTGTCTTTAGTTTTCTTATGTCTTGTTTATGTATTAGGGTAATGCTAACTTCATAAAATGATTTGGGAAATACTCTCTCCTCAATTTTCTGGAAGAATTTGTTTATAATTTTTATTCTTTCTTTCTTTCTTTTTTTTTTTTTTTGAGATGGAGTCTCCCTCACTCTGTCACACAGGCTGGAATGCAGTGGCACAATCTTGGCTTACTGTAACCTTCGCCTCCTGGGTTCAAGCAATTCTCCTGTCTCAGTCTCCCAAGTAGCTGGGACTAAAGGCATGTGTCACCACACTTGACTGATTTTTGTGTTTCTAGTAGAGATGGATTTTCACCATGTTGGCCGGGCTGGTCTTGAACTCCTGACTTCAAGTGATTCTCCTGCCTTGGTCTCCCAAAAGTGCTGGGATTACAGGCATGAGCCACTGTGCCTGGCCAAAATTATTATTTCTTTCTTAAAGGATTAGTAGAATTCAATAGTGAAGCCATTTGAGCCAGGAATTTTACTGTAGAGAATTTTTACCAATAAATTTAAATTCTTTAATAGATATAGGGCTATTCAGTTTATCTGTTTTTCCTTGAGTGAGTCTTGATAGTTTGTGTTTCTCAAAAAATATTTTATTTCATCTACTTTTCTTAATGTTCTCTTAGTATCATTTTAATACCTGTAGAAGATAAAGTGACGTTATCTCCCTCATTCTTGGTATTAGTCATTTACCAACTCTCTCACTTTTCTGGTGAAAAACACACCAATTTTAACAATTTTTTTAAAAGAACTTTTAGTTTCATAGATTTCCTCTATTGTTTCTTTCTGTTCTATAATTTATTGATCTCCATTCTGATCTTCATTGTTTGCTTTCTGCTTATAGTTTTAGTTTTATCCTCTTTTTCAGTTTAAAATGGATGCTGAGACCACTATTTAAGACTTTTTTAAAAATTTCTAATATAAGTTTTTTAGAGCAATAAAATCTCCCTATTTTTTTAGTGGCACTCCCCAAATTCATATATATTGTGTGTTCATTTCTTATTCAGTTGAAAAAACTTTCTAATTTCCTTCTTCAAATTTTTTTCTGAATTTTTTTTTTTGACACAGATCATTTAAAAGAGTGCTATTCAGTATTCAGGTACTTGGTTATTTCTCAGAGATGTTATTGTTAGTGATTTAATTTCATTATGATCAAACAACATATTTTATACAACTTGAATTTAAAACAAATTTATCTGAGATTTGTTTTGTTGCTCTGAGTATGGTCTATATTAGTAAATGTCTGTGTGTCTCAGAAGAGAATTTATATTGTGCTGTTGTTGGATAGAATGTTCTTTATTTAAAGGTCAATTACATCAAATTGATTGATAGTGTCATTCACGTGTTTTTTTGTTCTTACTGATTTTCTGTCTACTTCTACCAATTATTGAACTAGGAGTATTGAAATCTCCGGCTATAATTTTTGATATGTCTGATTCTCATTGCAGTTCTATCCATTTTTACTTTATGTATTTTGAAGTTTTGTTGTTGGGTACATAAACATTTACAATAGTCATATCCTCTTCACCTCCCCCCTTTACATTATGAAATGAACTGCTTTAGCTCTGAGCACAGGGGATTTTTAGGGCAGTGAAACTGTTCTTTATGATACTGTAATGGTGATACCTGCCATTATGCATACAACTTACAACATAGAGTGAAATTTAATGTGAACTATGGACTTCAGTTAATAATAATGTATAAATACGAGCTTATTGTCACAAATGTATCACACTAATGCAAGATGCTCTGAGCAAACAGTGTATTTGTTTGGAAATACACTTTGCTTAATATTAATGTGGCTATTCTAGCTTTCTTTCAGTGGTTTACTTTAATTAGGTTGATTTGATTTGATGAGGATGGTATATCATTTTTATCCTTTTACTTTTAAGCTATTTGTGCCTTTGTATTTAAAGAATGTTTCTTTTAAGCAGTGTTAAATCCAATCTGGCAATTTCTGCCTTATAATTCAGGTTACTGGAACATTTAAATTTAATGTGGATATTGATACGGTTAGGTTTATCATTTTGCTATTTGATATGTATTTTTTTTTTACCGTGTTTCCTTTTTCTTATCATTTTCTTCTTTGTTTTGGATTGAGGATTTTTTAATGATTCTATTTTTTCTCCTTTGTGGGCTTATTAGCTATAACTCTGTTTTGTTATTTTAGAGGTTGCTTTAGGTTTTGTAGTATACATTTGTAACTTATCACCATCTATATTCAGGTGACATTACACAACTTCACATATAGCAAAATAACCTCCAATATTACACTCCCATGTCTTCACTGTAGGCCTTAATGCTATTGTTGCTATAAGTTTTACTTCTGCCTATGTTACAAACTACCTAAGACATTGTTACTATTTTTGTCTAAATAGCCAATTATTTTTTAAAATATTGCAATTTTTTAAAAAATCTGATTTAGATACTCATGTAGTTACCATTTTCATTGCAGTTCTTTCCTTTGAGTAGATCTAAGATTTGATCAGGTGTCATTTTTTTCTTCTGATTCTAGAACTTCCTTTAAGATTTCTTGTAGTAGGATTCAGCTGATGATAAATTTTCTGCTATTTTGTGTCTGAGAAAGCCTTCATCTCACCATTATTTTATAAATTTACTTCCACTCTTGCCTGTAATCCTAGCACTTTGGGAGGCCAAGGCAGGGCAACTTCTTGAGCCCAGGAGTTAGCGACCATCCTGGGCAACATAGCGAGATTCCATCTCTACAAAAATAAAAATAAAAATCAGCCTGATGTGGCGGCATGCACCTCTGGTCCCAGCTACTTGGGAGGCTGAGATGGGAGGATCACTTGAGCCAGGGAAGCTGAGGCTGCAGTGAGCGATGATCACCCCACTGCACCCCAGCCTGGTTGACAGAGCAAGGCCCTGTCTCATAAAACACACATATACACACATCCACACACACACACACCCAACAGCAACAACAAAAATCCTGTCTACTGTCATTCTTATCTTTGTTCCTTTGTGTGTAATATGCCTTTCTTCTGTAGCTGCTTTTGATATTTTATTATTGCGCTGAGCAATTTTATTATATTATGATGTGCCTTTGTGCATTTTTTCTTCACGTGTCTTGAGCTTGGGGTTTGTTGAGCTCCTTGGATCTGTGGGTTTATAGTTTTCAACAAATTTGGAAAATTTTGGCCTGCATTTTTCCACTTCTTTTTAAATTTCACCATCCCTTCCCTTGGGGCTTAATTTGTCATTAAGCTTCCTGAAGCATGTTTTAATTTTTTTGAATAAAGCTTGATTTTTTTTTAGAGCAGTTGTAGGTTTAGAGAAAAGTTCACAGCAGGTTCCCATATTCTCCCTCTTGCCACATCCTTTAATTTCTTTCATTATTATCATCTTGCATTAATGTGATACATTTGTGACAATAAACTCATATTTATACATTATTATTATTAACTAAAGTCCATAGTTCACACTAAGTTTCACTCTATGTTGTAAGTTCTATGCATAATGGCAGGTATCACCATTACAGTATCATACAGAACAGTTTCACTGCCCTAAAAAAATCCCCTGTGCTCCGTCTGTTCAACCCTCCCTCCCTCCTGACTATCCCCTGGAAACTACTGATCTTTCTACTGTCTCTCTAGTTTATCTCTTCCAGAATGTCAAGTAGGTGGAAGGGTATACTATGTTGCTTTTCCAGACTGGCTTCTTTCACTTAGTAACAGGCATTTAAATTTCCCCCATATCTTTTCATAGCTTGATAGCACATTTTTTCTATCGCTGACTAATACTTCATTTTATACTATAATTTGTCTAATGTTAAAGAAAAATTGTAGCTGGGCCCTGTGGCTCATTCCTGTAATCCCAACACTTTGGGAAGCTGAGGCAGGCAGATGGCTTGAGCCCAGAAATTTGAGACCGGCCTGGGTAACATAGTGAGAATACCCTCTACAAAATTTTTTTTTTTAAAGAATTAGCCAGGTGTGGTGACTTATGCCTGTAGCCGCAGCTACTTGGGAGGCTGAGGGGAATCACCTGAGCCCAGAAGTTGAGGCTGCAGTGAGCCACGATCCCATCACTGCACTCCGACCTGGACAAGAGAGGGAGATGTCCTCTCAAAAATATTAAAGAACAGAAAAAAATGTTCTAACACTTATTAAAAAGATAAGATTATATTCATGTCTGTTCCAGTAGGAGTCATCTATGATGACTGCAACAGGGAAGGGTAATTCAACTTCATATTCAACAAGGATAAGTGAGGGTTTATAGCCAATGAACACAGTGAGGGGAGCAGTGGGTGGAAAATTAGAAAGAGGAGACATCAAGGGATGAGGATTCTTGCTAAACTGGCCTAACAGATTCTTGCTAAAATCAGGCCAAACATGTATACATCAAAGATGGGACTGGAAGAACTTGATCAGATATTAAGAGTGATCAAGTATCAAGAGTAAGGGGATGATTTAGCAGGATTCTTGCTAAAGCTGGGGACAAGAGACCAGATGTGAAAAGCTAAGGTTGAGAACTAGTTGAGAGGAGGGCTCAGAGGAGCCTTTCCAAAGTTAGTCAAGGAGAGATTCTTTATCCCCATCCACTCACATACTAAACAACATCTTTGTTGCTTCCATGTTTTGGCAATTAGGAATAAAGTTGCTATACAAATTTATGTGCAGATTTTGATATTCTTTATCCCAAAGCATAAGGCAAGCATAGGACACATCTTATTTCCAGCTCCTTAAGGAATGCTTTCCTCTACTGCCTGAGGTCCAGTCTTGAAAATGGTTGCTTCAGATATTTTGTCTGCATTTTTCGTTGTTTTTTTTCAGTTGGTTGTATTAGTCCATTCTCACACTGCTATGAAGAAATACCCAAGACTGGGCAATTTATAAAGAAAAGAGGTTTAATTAACTCACAGTTTCAACTGCCTGGGGAGGCCTCAGGAAACGTACAATCATGGCATAAGGCACCTCTTCACAGGGTGGCAGGAGAGAGAATGAATGCAAGCAACGGAAGTGCCAGATGCTTATAAAACCATCAGATCTCGTGAGACTCACTCACTCTCACGAGAACAGAATGGGGGAAACTTACCCCATGATTCAATGACCTTCCACTGGGTCCCTCCCAGGACCCATGGGGATTATGGGGATTATCATTCAAGATGAGATTTGGGTGCGGACATAGAGTTAAACCCTATCAGCCTCAGGACACTGGTTTTTGGTTGTTTCAGATAAAAGGGTAAATGTGGCTCCCACACCTCCATCTCGGCCACAAGCAAAAGTCCTAGTCAAATGTTAGAAAGCAGTTTGTGGCCGGGGTCGCTCATGCCTGTAATCCCAGCACTTTGGGAGGCCGAGGTGGGCAGATCACGAGGTCAGGAGATGGAGACCATCCTGGCTAACACGGTGAAACCCCATCTCTACTGAAAATACAAAAAAGTTAGCTGGGTGTGGTGGCGGGTGCCTGTAGTCCCAGCTACTCTGGAGGCTGGGCAGGAAAACGGCGTGAACCCGGGAGGTGGAGCTTGCAGTGAGCCGAGATCGCGCGACTGCACTCCAGCCTGGGAAACAGAGCGAGACTCCAGTCTCAAAAAAAAAAAAAAAAGAAAGAAAGAAAGAAAGAAAGCACAGTCTGCTAAGGAGAAAACAATCATGAGAAATCTTCTGACTTGCCCAGGATCAGGCGGCTCATTGCTACTTGCTCTGTAGCAAAGGCAGCCTGGGTAAGGAGCAATACTGTCTGAAGTGGCCCACCTGCATTCCAGCCCTTAGAACAGGCAAGAAAATATCTTATGTTAGGACTAGGATTGATGATTAATGAGACATGATGAGTAAACCTTCCTTCAATTGCTAGCACCCAGACCTAGGTCAAAATTTCTGAAATTTAAGAATGAGAATCCCTTGTGCTGCCAAGGGAAAGATTATGAAGTCATTCTACCTAATAGCTTATTCCAGGAAAATCCAAACACCAATCTACAGGGATATTTAGACATTTAGGATGACCTGATACAGAAGAGGATACCCCGTGAGTGAGCAGTCATCACCCTCAAACCTACCCTTCAGCTGTCAAAGGGTAGCATTTATGCCCTTCATCTGTCTTTTTGAACAAGCTTCCAGTTCTGTACTCATATTTACATAAACAGGATGAAAAAAGATTTTCAAGTATCCAGTGAACAACCTAAAAGATTATTATAACCATTATGTGTTCACAATAAAAAGCAAAATGAAATCAGGAGAGAAATTTGATTTGGGTAATATGACTGCCCATCTTATATGTTCAAACTGATACAGTAGTCATCCATATGCTGGATTCATAGTCCATAGGGTTTCAGATGTCAAGAACGCCAGCACATAAATAGTAAAAGCACAACTGGGTAGGAAGAGGCAGGTAGCACAGACGCCAGACAAGATGATGCAATGTCCATGCTCTAAAACTTTCAGTGTCATGCAAAAACAATGAATTCTATGACTAATTTAGAAGATGATAGTTAAAACAGGAGTAAGCATTTCATTCCTTTATCTGACAGAAAATCCAAGGCAGACATAATGGATTAATACGCACAGATGGAGCTGTTTGAAATTCTAGGTTTCCCTATAAGTGGTGTTTTGCAGATTATAAATACGCTTTTATAACACATCATTAAAATGTGCAGTCTTCCCAGTAAAAGTCATTCACTGTATCTCCCTGTTTGTCAGGTTTAGAGGTCCCTATACAAATTGCATTGTAATTATTTGACACATCAAATTTTCATATATCTTGATTAAAGACAATCCTTTTTTTCTTTCTTATGTGAATTCTCATGCAGGTCTTGGAATTCATGAGCATGTCACAAAGATCAAAATATAGTTGGGAAAATGACTAGCTAGCAGCATGAGTCATAGTCTAATGTTTGATGGCTTACATCAAAGAGATCATATGCAGGAATTCAGAAACACCTCATATTTTTCTCATGTTGTGATGTCTTCTACCAGCACCTACTCACTTACTGAAGAAATTATTGCAAAGCTCCCCCAGCTACCTGGTGTATAAGAAAAAAATCAAAGTCACATTCTCTTTGCCCTGCTATTATATTATGTCAGTCTACACAAGTATTTCAGAGCTAGACTTAAAAAAATTAAAATGCTGTTTGCTAACAGGAGTCTAGCTGTGAGTTTGTTTTGCAGGGCTTTGTTAAATCTATAGAACCACACAATCTGTCCTGTATATATAGCCCTTGATGTCTGTGTATCTCAGGCAGTATTCTTTCCTGGGTTGACTTGTAGCAATGGTGATTAAAAAAAGACACAATATGTTGTTAAAAGGAACATAGCCCATTCAGGATTTATGTACTGACAACATTTCAGCAACATGTGATACAGTCAAAAATGTTAAAATAGCCTTTCTATTTCACAAGGAAAGCAAGGATATTAGATTGATTCTGTTTCCATAACAGTACATCTTGATGCTATGGTTTTATTCCAGCTCAACCATTTGTCATTTTTTTCTCTCTCTTTCTCCTCCCCTAGGATGGGGTAGGGGAAGGGCAAGTGGGAAAAAAGGAGGGGTGGAAGCAAACACATTGGGTTTGAGACACTGAAAATTTGAATTAGAGTATCAAATTAGACAAAATATAAGGAGGCTGGGATGTTAGAACTTGCCAACTTGCTAATCACTGCTTTCTTTCAAGGTTTAGTTCCAACAATGTAAGGCACTTTGAAATCTAAACAAGGAGACCTTAAAGAAGTCATCAGCAAGGTCAGAATGAACTGATGATGGGGTTTTCATTGGTTCTCTGCTGTGATGGCATTTTGCTATGTGTCATTGTCATTATCCTCCCATCCCAAGCAGGCACAGAAAAAACAAAGCCCAGAGCTGTACTCACCAGCCTTGATGTGGACATCCTGACTTCTAATTTTCCCTGAAGGATTTTCAGCTGTGCAATAATAAGTATTATCATGGATTAAGGTACTGAAGCTTGAAGGAGGGAAGGGGAAAATTTGGAGAGTGCCGTTGGGGTGGACGTGGCGGATCCCGGGGACATCGTAGATCTCCTCGCCCGTGGCTAGGTACCATCTGAGAGTCACAGGAGGGATGCCTGCTGCGGGGCAGGGCACCAGAGTCCCCGTGGTGCTGGCAAACACTACCTCTTGCAGAGATGCATTGACAAAGTAGAGGCTGGAGTGTAGGTCTTCACTGAAAACTGCAAGAAGACAACACAGGGATCCATAGGTGAGTAAAACATGCCTTTGACATTTGCAGTTCAATGTCTGGCCTCAGAAAGTTATCCTGAAAATTAATCATGAGGCGCAGGCTCAAATAAAACCAAATAATTCAAATTTTCTGAAAATGCTGTGAGCAGACAGGCTGATACTAAAAAATAAGGCACCATCCTAATTTCACATTTTGTACACAAACTGTTAAGTTATCCTGGATGTTAATTTTTAATAGATTGTTTTTTTGCCTCATGCCCCAAACCCTGTTCTCTCCCCACACTGACCACCATTGGACTGTATATATTTTATATTCACTTATTGTCTATCTTCTGCCACTAGAGATAAGCCTCATGAGGACAAGGTCTTAATTTACTCCCACTATTACCTGGAGCATAGAGCCCAGCTCTCACTGGACTCTCAGTAAAGGGAAGCTGAATGTGTGAATGCCTAGATCTTGTTGCTGGGATCAAATTGCTCTCTTTACTAGCTTCACTGAGGGTTATTATGCAATGAAATTTGCCACATTTTTAATTAAAATTGCAAATCATATGTAAAACATTTTATTTTTTATTATACTTTAAGTTCTGGGATACATGTGCAGAATGTGCAGGTTTGTCACATAGGTATACACGTGCCGTGGTGGTTTGCTGCACCCATCAACCCGTCATCTACATTAGGTATTTCTCCTAATGCTATCCCTCCCCTAGTTCCCCAACCCCAACAGGCCCCGGTGTGTGATGTTCCCCTCCCTGTGTCCACGTGTTCTCATTGTTCAACTCCCACTTATGAGTGAGAACACGCGGTGTTTGCTTTTCTGTTCCTGTGTTAGTTTGTTGAGAATGATGGTTTCCAGCTTCATCTACATCCCTGCAAAGGATATGAACTCATCGTTTTTTATGGCTGCATAGTATTCCATGGTGTGTATGTGCCACATTTTCTTTATCCAGTCTATCATTGATGGGCATTTGGGTTGGTTCCAAGTCTTTGCTATTGTGAATAGTGCCACAATAAACATATGTGTGCATGTGTCTTTATAGTACAATAATTTATAATCTTTTGGGTGTATACCCAGTAATGGGATTGCTGGGTCAACTGGTATTTCTGGTTCTAGATCCTTGAGGAATCTCCACACTGTCTTCCACAATGGTTGAACTAATTTACACTCCCACCAACAGTGTTAAAGCGTTCCTATTTCTCCACATCCTCTCCAGCATCTGTTGTTTCCTGACTTTTTAATGGTCACCATTCTAACTGGCATGAGATGGTATCTCATTGTGGCTTTGATTTGCATTTCTCTAATACCAGTGATGATGAGCTTTTTTTCACGTTTGTTGGCTGCATAAATGTCTTCTTTTGAGAAGAGTCTGTTTATATCATTTGCCCACTTTTTGATGGGGTTTTTTTTCTTGTAAATTTAAGTTCTTTGTAGAGTAAAGCATGTTAAAAAAGCACCATTATCAGAAAATACAATGTCAAATCAACAATACACTTTTATTTAAAATAGGACATAACAATAAAGAGAATTTTGACAAAAGCATGACTCAACTCCACCAGCCTACAGTGTCTGTTTTGATTTTTACATTTCCCTTGTGGTCCACCTGCCTCCATGCCTTATCTATATAATTATATCATGTTAAAGTGTACATACGTAAAATGTACCATTTTTATAACTGTTTAATTCTTTTATACATCATCTACATTATTCCATGGTTCTATACGGACTTCACAAGTAAATATCAGTGAATGCACAATTTATACATATTCTTATGAACTGTTTTTCTGCTCTTTTCATTTAAATTGTTTCTCTTTTCGCTTCTACAAGTAAATATCATCAAATGTGTTCATACACATTTGGCTTTTTAATTCATTTAAGGGCCTATAACAAGTGTTTCTGGAGTGTTGGTTATGTGAAGAAATAAAACGTGACTTCCAGAATTTACAAGTTAAATAAAAGATTTATAAATATAATGAAGGCCTACTTGTCACACATCTGAGCTTCTCCATGACTTTCTAAAGCAGGTGCATACCTAGTTACATATTTGTAAGAGAGAAGAGAAGCCCCAGATATTTCGAATGAACTTCACTGGTCAGAAGTGAGAATAACATTTATTGTATGCTTCATAGTATCTCATACCAGACAACCTTCTAACACTCGAGATGAACAACAGCTCCGCTAGGTAAACAAAGGCTCCACTTTGCAGACGGTGACA